>NC_000022.11:34770170-34921685 GCF_000001405.40 Homo sapiens
AGATTCACCCCTGCATTTCTCCTAATCCTGGGGGTTGTTTTTAATTGTTTTTTCATAATGCTGATGTAAAACTGGGGCCAAGTCCTGAAAAAGTTCATGATCAGTGAAGTCGACCTGAAATGCTGAGAGCAGGTAGCAGTTACATGAGTAGTACAGCTTGTAAGAGTCACACAGGCTATAAGAAGAAATACTGCCTGCAAGGTCACACAGCTTGTCAGTGACAAAGGCAGGACTGTCACCAAAATGTATGAGATGTCAAAGCATGTGCCTGATGGTTTATTACAGAGGTAAGACTCTGGCTGAGCCTTGAGGGACATGCAATGTTTGGAATGGAGGAGAAGAGGAGGTGAGAGAGGTGGATGGGTGGGCGACCAAAACAATCACAAAGTGAGTGAGAGTTTCTTTTCCTTATTTGGCCACCAACCCTCATTTCTTCCTCCTTCAATTACCTTTCACCAGCTGTGTTTCTCCTGCACTTGGCTCCCATGCTTTTGCCTAGGCTAATGCTTCCTCCTGGAATGCCTACCCAACTCAATCCCACCCGCTTGTCAAGGTCAGCCTAGCGTCTACTATCTGCTTGGAGCCTTTGTATTGTTCACCCATTCATTGAACAAGTATCAATTTAGCCCCTAGAATGTGCCAGGTCCCCTTCCAGGTACTGGGGATTCAGCAGAAAATGATATTAAATTCCTGCCTTCATGGAGCTCACATTCTAGTTGGAAGAAACAAAAAATAAACAAATATACAAATAAACATCCATCATATGTCAAATAGTGAAATGTGCTAGAAAGAATAAGCAGTGTATGGCGACAGAGCATAACAGAGATAGAACAGCACTCCTGTAGACAGAGAGGTGAAGGGAGACTTCTTTGATGAGAGGGTTGATATTTGCATAGAGACTTGAACGAAACAAAGGAGGGATGCACACAGACACTAGGGATGCAAATCCTGCTGGGTGTGCTCAAGAAACAGCAGAGAAGGGGCACACCTGGGGCAAGGTGAACAGGAGGAAGAGTGGGAAGAGACGGTGGCAGAGGGAACAGAAGCCTCACTATCCCTGACCAGAATATACCACTCTTTGCCCTCCACATTCTCGCCATGACCCCCAGGACATTTGTTTTTACATCTCCCATTCTGCCTCAAGTCGCACTCTGGTCAATTGTGAACATATCAGTCCCGCAGTAGACTGTAGCCCAGTGAAGCTAAGGGCCTTGTTCTCATCAGCACTGTAGCCCTTGCACCCAGCACTGAATGCCCTCGTAGCTCAGACTAGCAACAGTCAGTGTGGAAAAGAGCACAGCACAACCCAGTGGGGATGGGGAGGAAGACGTCTAGGAAGGAGCAGAGCATGGAGTCAGCCCCCTTGGCATCCTGTGGTCTAATACACCTTATCTGCAGGAGCTCAACAACTTAGGCCAATGGGTCTGATCCCTTGCATGTGTGATACTCAGAGCCAGTGAGTATGCCATGCCTATATGACAGTCATCAGCAAAGATACCAGTGGCAGGGCCAGGGTCACCCATGGACTGTTAAGATGTAGTAAAAGAGTTGGGAGGCTGAGATTCATGATAGAGCTCCAGTAGCTCCGGTAGCTATAGTAGCTAGTGTAGCTGAGAAGTGGTGTGCTGAATAGGAAATGGAAGCAGGTAGCCTGTCTATGAGACTGGGTGAGCACAGCCAGTTGAAGGGAAGGCTATGACTCGACAGGTGCCCTGGCTAGCCCTCTCACCCCAGGCACATCCTGTCCTAGACCTGTAGCTGCTACAAAGATGGAGACGCCAGTCTTTCGTAACTGAATCAGAGTCTGGGAGGAGTGCCTACCCAACCGCCAGAGACCGAGGTGCATTTGCTATACAGAACCATTCAGCTAATGCTAACTTGCTGTTCTTCTATCAGCCTGAAGCTTTGCACACACAATCTCTTCCCCCGCCTTCTCTGTGAGCTCCTAGGAGATCTTCCCATGACAATCTAGGGGATAGTGAAGAGCTACACTTCAGATCCAATAGGTCTCTCATTACAGCCAATTCTGAGTCTGAAAAGCAAAATGCATGACACCCCCTGGGCCCACCCCTGCTCCTCATCAATCAAAGAGCTCTTAATTAGCTCCCTCGGCCTCCCTATTCTCCTCCCGGTTTGCTGCTGAGTCTCTGGTGAAGCCCCTAGAGTAGCTGAATGTGAATGTAGACCCTGCCAGGCGGCAGGTGATTCTCCTTTCTGCCCTCCTGGCAGCAAGCACTCCAGAACCATATGGAGCAGCTTGGTACCTCAAAGGGCAGAACTTAGAAAAATAGGTCCCTTAGGATCTCCAAGTAGAATAGTCTCATTTTACAGATGAAAAACCTGAGATCCAGAGAGAGATTTTTTGGTGGAAATTTGCTGGATTTGAGCCTTTGAAGACATTGCCTACCTCTCTGCTTACTTCCTGGTTTCCAGATATATTTTAATCTCTTTTTATTTCTTCATCTTTGGTGACTTTGTATTAAATAAGAGCATTCTTGCTCAACATCACTAATCACCAAGGAAATGTGCATTAAAACCAGAGTGAGCTATCACCTCACATCTCTTAGATTGGCTATTATCCAAAAGCTAAAAGAGAACAAGTGTTGATGAGGATGTGGAGAAAATGGAATTCTTGCACACTGGTGGTGGGAATGCAAATTAATATAATCGTTATGAGAAACAATATGGACGTTCCTGAAAAAACTAAAAATAGAACTACCATATGATCCAGCAGTCCCATTCCTGGGTATATATCTAAAGGAAATGAAATCAGTATGTCAAAGAGATATTTGCACTCCCGTGTTTGTTGCAGCATTATTCACAATAGTCACCATGTGGACTCAACCTAAGCGTCCATCAACAGATAAATGGATACAGAAAATGTGATCTATATACACAATGGAATATAACTCAGCCTTAAAAAGAAGGAAATCCTGTTATTTGTGAACACAGGTAAATCTGGGGGAGATTATGTTAAGAGAAATAAGCCAGACATGGAAAGACAAATGTTGAATGATCTTACGTACATGTGGAATCTAAAAAAATTGCACTCACAGCAGCAGAGAGTAGAATGATGGTTACTGGGGCTGAGGGTGGGGACATTGGGGAGACATTGGTCAAACAACACAAAATTTCAATTACATAGGAGGAATAAGTTCAAGAGATCTATAACATGGCGACTATAGTTAATAACAATGTATTGTAATTGAAATAAAAAATTGCTAGGAGAGCAAATTTTAAATACTCTCCCTCAAAAAAAAATGGTGCGTATGAGGTAATGCATATGTTAAATAGCTCAATTTAGTTATTCCACAATGTACACATATTTCAAAACATCATGTTGCACTCCATAAGTATATATTTTTTTAATCTGTCAATTTTTTTAAGGAGGAAAAAGAAAAATAAATACATGTGTGTAGCATATCAAAGTATTCCCATTCCCTAATACCATAAGGTCATAGCTAGGGTATCAAACCAGATCAGCATAAACAGTTCAATGCAGGCATGTCTTCCCATAAGCCAGGAAGAAGGAATATTAATGAAGAGGAGATGTTTGAGAGAAAATGTAGACACACCATAGGGGGTCATTCAGGAATAGAAACATGAGAGTGCGAATATCTCTTCAACATACTGATTTCATTTCCTCATATACATACTGATTTCATTCCTGTGATATACACCCAGGAATGGGATTGCTGGGTCATATGGTAGTTCTCTTTTTAGTTTTTTCAGGAACCTCCATATTGTTTCTCATAATGATTATATTAATTTGTGTTCCCACCACCAGTGTGCAAGAATTCCATTTTCTCCACATCCTCATCAACACTTGTTCTCTTTTAGCTTTTGGATAATAGCCAATCTAAGAGATGTGAGGTGATAGCTCACTGTGGGTTTTAATTCTCATTTCCTTGGTTTCTATTCCCCCTGAAAAGGAATGGGAATCCCATGTATCTGTTTGATTAGATACATTATAATTCCCACCTTACGGATGAAGAAAACAATCCCAAAAGCTAAGCAATTTGCCAAGGATTGCAGGCAAGATAATATAATAACAAGATAATAATGACCATTTAAAGAGTGCCTCCTAAATGCAAGACACTCTATGAGACATTTTGTAATTACTGTATCATTTGACCTTCATAATCATTCCTAGTAATTGACAAAGTCAAGATTTGAAATCAAGTCTCTCTTATTTCAAACCTTATGCTCTTCTCCCAATATCATATTGACTCTCTAGAGGTTACCCTTCCTAAGTAGGAGAATTAGACTCCCGTAACCTAAGGATTTTTTTTCTATTTTAGGTAAGGATCAAGCCACCACTCTGGGGCTCATTCATAAATAAATGGATTCTGCATTCTGCAGAATACAAAAGTTTATTCCACACTCAGAGTGTGGCCAATTCTGTGCTAAGCACTTTATGTGCATTGTCTCAACTGAATGACCAATAAATGGGTATGGCCATTCCCCTGGTTTTACAGAGGAGGACACTGAGACTCAAAGAGACTAAATTCTTTGTCCAAGGCTTCCCAGATGGTATAGTTAAGAATCAGTTCTGCCTGAATCCACTACGAATGATTGCATGGGAAAGGCAGGCTTATCACCTGCCTTTTAGAATGCAGAGTTTCTCAAACTTTTGTGTTTTAAAACATTACAGACTCCAGAACTTCATCCCAGAGTTCTGATTTATCAGACCTGGGTTAGGGCACAGGATCTGAAGCTGCAGTAAGCATCTCATGGAATTCTGATGCTAGCGGTCTTAGGAACATGCTTTGAGAAGTGCTGTGTACATGTGGTGCAGACAAGTCAGACCCGGCCAACAACTAAGGCTCTCTCTGAGGCAAACCAGGCCTTCCTATCCATCAGCAGACAAAAGTTTGCGGAAGGATTCTGGAGAGTGTTGTGAAGTCTCGTGCCCCAAATGCCAACGTTGAGCAATTTATAGAAAGGGCTCCAAGGTGGGTTGGATGAGCTAGCTTATTATTACAGGAAGCTGTTTCTTCTCCGTCTTTTATTCCCACTTGATAGCATTATCACTAACCAGTTATACTGTCTGTACCACCTCGGGCAAGTCACTTAACCTTTTACAAAAAGATGCTGAGCTATAGGACCTCTGTGATTGAACTTTCTGTGATAGAGTCATAGTCCAGACTTGCTCAAGTCACAATGCTTTCACTCCATGATGTTAATACTTCAGACCACTGACTAAGCATTCCTTTTTTAAACTTATTTTATTTATGTATTTAACCAAATGAAATACTTCTCTAGACCTCTAAACTACAAACACTCTGTTTCTCCTTAAAGCATCTTTACTGGCTGAAATTCTAAGAAAAGAAAAAATGTATGTGGAAGTATTAATTATTAAGCCATTATTGATACACTGAGCAAGAATTATGCTTCTCTTTGGCATGGCCTCCCAGGTCTGAGGAAGTTTATCCTGTGGCTGGAAAAAAACTTGTCTTCCCTGCTGAGTTCTATAAGACCAGATTTCTGTTAGATCCTATATCCTCATATTCTCATTACCAAGAAGAGTGTCAGCAACTGCATACTAAATGACTTCTTTGCGGGAAAGGAGAGTTAGGAATGAATGCATGAATGAATGAAGTGCTGAGAAACTTCTGGGGTTGAATTTTTGAAGAAAAGTTTCAAGGACATAAAAATGGTGAAAGTGGAGGAGATATTAGCACAGTTGGCACAGAGATAAGACAAAACCTGTGCCTGTTCCATAAAAACCCTGCACATAGTGAATATGCAATAATCATCGCTTATCGAATGAAGTCATCCCACCCACTGAGAGTATAGATGTGGCAACCTTTATGTTTTAATTTTAATAGGTTTTCAACCCATGGTGCCAAGGGAATTATGGATGGATTTCAGTCATTCTCACCGAATTAGGATTAAGACAAATAAAGCAAAATAAGACAAATGACCCAGGTTTTAAAGACTTGGACCGGGGTGTCTATCATGGAACAAGACTATTATAACTTAATGTGATGTGTGCTGCAGTAGAAGAAAGCATGGAGTGTCACGGGAGCAACAGGAGGGGCCCACTAACCAGGCTGAGTGGGATTCCAAGAGGACTTCCTGGAGGAGGGACACATTGGCTGAGTATTGGGAAAGAGTGGAATAGAAGGAAGGAAAAATGAGACTAGGGGAGTGATCCAGGTTCTGGATGTAGCATGTGGAAAAACTCCAATAATGGGAACTTGACCGTATAGGGCTAAGACACATGAAATGGCTCATTGTAGCTAAAGTATAGTTCTATAGTGTGGTTAGAAAGAGATGGGGCTGGATAGGCAAAGAGTGATGGTCAGGGAAGTGGGTTGTTGGTCTTGCATAACAGTTAGGGTAAGCGGGAGGCCAGTAACGATTTTTAGGAAAAGAACTGACTAGATCTGATTTGTGTTTTTGAAAAATCCCTTTCGCTACTGTGTGGAAGGTGATCTGGAGGGAAATTGGTTAGAGGTCATTGTAATAATCTAGCCAAGAAGTGATGAGAGCCTTAACTAAGTAGACACAGAAAGTATAGGATTTAAAGACATTCAGAAGAAGAATTTATGGGAGATGGTGACTAACTGCATGTGGAAAAGAAAGGAAAAGACAAAGATAAGAATGATTGCTATGTTTTGTGCTTGGCTGACAGTTAAATGGGTGTTATCACTGAAACGAGGAGCATGAAAAGGCAAAGACAGTTTGGAGAGAAAGACAGAAGTTAATTTTTTGACATGTTGCATTTTAGATGCCCATGAAACTCACAAGTGGTGGTTATTAATAAGCAGTTGATTTTATAGGTCTGAAGCTCATGGGAGAGTTCTGCGTGAAAAGAACAGAGATCTGTGAGTCATCAGCCTGGAGACGGTGGTTAGACATGGGGGCAGGGATGAAACACCCTGAAGAGTGTGCTAGAGTAAGAAAAGTGAAGGGCTTAGAAGGTGATATGGTTTGGCTGTGACCTCACACAAATCTCACCTTGAATTGGAATCCATATAAACCCCAGGTGTTGTGGGAGGGACCATGTGGGAGGTGATGGGATCATGGGAGCAGCTTCCTCCATGTTGTTCTCATGATAGTGAGTGAGTTCTCATGAGAGCTGATGGTTTTATAAGGCAGTTTCCCTGCTCTTGCTCACTTTCTCTCACCTGCCACCATGTAAGACATGCCTCTTCCCTGTCCACCATGACTGTAAGTTTCCTGAGACTGAGGTACTGCTATAAAGATACCAAAAACTGTGGAAGTGACTTTGAAATTGGGTAACAGGCAGAGGTTGAAACAGTTTGGAGGGGTCAGAAAAAGACAGAAAGATGTGGGAAACTTTGGAGCTTCCTAGAGACTTGAATGGTTTTGACCAAAATACTGACAGTGATATGGACAATGAAGTCCAGGCTCAGGTGGTCTCAGATGGAGATAAGGAACTTACTGGGAACTGGAACAAAAGTCACTCTTGCTAGCTTTAGCAAAGAGGCTGGCAGCATTTTGTCCCTGCCCTAGAGATCTGTAGAATTTTGAACTTGAGAGAGATAATCTGAAATTGAAAATTATGTTTAAAAGGGAGCACAGCATAAAAGTTTGGAAAACTTGCATCTGACGATGCAATAGAAAAGAAAACCCCATTTTATGTGGAGAAATTCAAGCCAGATGCGAAATTTGCATAAGTAGGAGCCAGATGATAATCAACAAGACGATGGGGAAAATGTCCTCAGGGGATGTCAGAGGTCTTCATGGAAGCTCCTCCCATCACAGGCCCAGAGGCCTAGGAGAAAAAAATGGTTTCATGGGCCTGGGCCTGGGCCAGGGCCAGGGCCTTGCTACTTTGTGCAGTCTCCAGACTTGGTGCCCTGCATCCTAGTGTGGCTAAAAGGGGCCAACATACAGCTCAGGCCATTGCTTCTGAGGGTGCAAGCCACAAGCCTTGGTGGCTTCCACATGATGTTGGGGCTGTGGGTGTGCAGAAGTCAAGAACTGAGGTTTGGGAACCTCCACCTAGATTTCAGAGGATGTATGGAAATGCCTGGATGTACAGGCAGAGGTCGGCTGCAGGGGTGGGGCTCTTATGGAGAACCTCTGTTAGGGCCATGTGAAAGGGAAATGTGGGGTTGGAGCCCCCACCCATAGTCCCCACTGGGGCACTGTCTAATGGAGCTTTGAGAAGAGGTCTGCCATCCTCCATATCCCAGAATGGTAGATCCACCAACAAAACCACAAGGAGATGACATCTCACACCAGTCAGAATGGCAATTACTAAAATGTCAAAAAAATAACAGATGCTGGTGAGGTTGTGGAGAAAAAAGAATGCTTATATACTGGTGGTGGGAGTGTAAATTAGTTCAACTATTGTGAAAGACAGTGTGGCAATTTCTCAAAGACCTAAAAAAAAGAAATACTTTTCCACCCAGCAATCCCATTGCTGGGTATATATCCAAAGAAATATAAATCATTCTATCATGAAGACACATGCACACATATGTTCATTGCAACACTATTCACAATAGCAAAGACATAGAATCAACCTAAATTTCCATCAGTGATAGACCAGATAAAGAAAACGTGGCACATATACACCACGGGATAGGGATACTATTCAGCCTTAAAAAAGAATGAGATCATGTGCTTTGCAGGGACATGAATGGAGCTGGAAGCCATTTTCCTTAGCAAACTAACACAGGAACAGACAACCAAATACTGTATGTTATCACTTACAAGTAGGAGCTAGATGATGAGACCACATGGATGTATACAGGAGAAGAACACACACTGGGGCTTATCAGAGGATGGAGGGTGAGAGAAGAGAGAGAATCAGGGAAAATAATGAATGAATACTAGGCTTAAAACCTGGGTGATGAAATAATCTGTACAACAAACCCCCATGACACAAGTTTACCTATGTAACAAGCCCGCACATATACCCCTGAACTTTTTTTTTTCAAACTTTTTTTTTCTTTTTTTAAATTATTATACTTTAAGTTTTAGGGTACATGTGCACAATGTGCAGGTTAGTTACATATGTATACATGTGCCATGTTGGTGCGCTGCACCCACTAACTCGTTATCTAGCATTAGGTATATCTCCCCCCTCCCCCCACACCACAACAGTCCCCAGAGTGTGATGTTCCCTTTCCTGTGTCCATGTGTTCTCATTGTTCAATTCCCACCTATGAGTGAGAATATGGGGTGTTTGGTTTTTTGTTCTTGCGATAGTTTACTGAGAATGATGATTTCCAATTTCATCCATGTCCCTACAAAGGACATGAACTCATCATTTTTTATGGCTGCATAGTATTCCATGGTGTATATGTGCCACATTTTCTTAATCCAGTCTGTCATTGTTGGACATTTGGGTTGGTTCCAAGTCTTTGCTATTGTGAATAGCGCCGCAATAAACATACGTGTGCATGTGTCTTTATAGCAGCATGATTTATAGTCCTTTGGGTATATACCCAGTAATGGGATGGCTGGGTCAAATGGTATTTCTAGTTCTAGATCCCTGAGGAATCGCCACACTGACTTCCACAATGGTTGAACTAGTTTACAGTCCCACCAACAGTGTAAAAGTGTTCCTATTTCTCCACATCCTCTCCAGCACCTGTTGTTTCCTGACTTTTTAATGATTGCCATTCTAACTGGTGTGAGATGGTATCTCATTGTGGTTTTGATTTGCATTTCTCTGATGGCCAGTGATGGTGAGCATTTTTTCATGTGTTTTTTGGCTGCATAAATGTCTTCTTTTGAGAAGTGTCTGTTCATGTCCTTCGCCCACTTTTCGATGGGGTTGTTTGTTTTTTTCTTGTAAATTTGTTTGAGTTCTTTGTAGATTCTGGATATTAGCCTTTTGTCAGATGAGTAGGTTGCGAAAATTTTCTCCCATTTTGTAGGTTGCCTGTTCACTCTGATGGTAGTTTCCTTTGCTGTGCAGAAGCTCTTTAGTTTAATTAGATCCCATTTGTCAATTTTGGCTTTTGTTGCCATTGCTTTTGGTGTTTTAGACATGAAGTCCTTGCCCATGCCTATGTCCTGAATGGTAATGCCTAGATTTTCTTCTAGGGTTTTAATGGTTTTAGGTTGAACTTAAAAGTTAAAAAATAATAAAAAGGCAACTTAAAATAAAAGTATGTTAACAGTCATAGCTCTGAGATCATAATTTCCCAATGACTAGAAACAACACAAATGTCCTTCAACTGGTGAGCAGATAAGCAAACTATAGTATATCCATATAAGGGAAAACAACTCGGCCATAAAATAAATGCAGTAACACGAATGAATCTCAAATGCATCACACTAAGAGAAAGAAGCCAGCATTAAAAAGCGACATACTGTCTGATTCCATCTGTATGACATCCTCAAAAAGGCAAAACCACAGGGGCAGAACACAGATCACTGGTTGCCAGAGTCCAGAGAAGTAGATGTTACCTACAAAGAGGTACAGGGGAAATGTTTTGAGATAATGGAATTGTTCCAGTATCTTTACGGCAGTAGTGGTTATTTGACCATGTTTGCTTGTCAAAACTCACAACTGTACTCCAATAAAGGTAAAATTTTTACATGTGAATTACATCTCAATAAGAAAATGTGAAAAAAAAAATTCAGAATGTTGCCATAAGAGTGGTTGGTTAAAGCCTTTTGAAGGTCAAGGTCATTGAAATGGAATAGATCCAGGGTCTATCAGGTGGAAAAGTTGGGGGTTGAAGTCACCAGGATAAAATCTAGTCATGGAGAATAGAGGGAAACAGAGTCAGGTGCCAAAATTCAAAGGAACTCACTTCCTTGCCAAATATATATACTCACTTTGGCATACCAAGATTAAGAATATTTCACTTTAATTATATTTTAAATATAATTCATAAATACATGGGATTTTATATATGATCCTTAATGTATAGGTGTGTGAATGTGTATGCACCTATGTGTATATATACTTACATACATATATGCTTATACATATATGTTTATAAGAATATATATGAATATATGTATGTGTATACATAAGAATATGTATACATTTTAAAAATAATTCTTAATCTGGGTATACCTAAATTAATTCCCAAATTCCTAGGTCTCTCATGTAGGAAGAAACATACCCTAATGTGAGTGTGAACGCAGACATTTCTTGAACAACCTGTCACAGGTGTAAATCTTAGACTGGGTGTCTAAATAAAGAGACTGACTTGGGGAGTTACCCAGCAGCCCCCAGGCATGTAAGGCTCAGGCTGTCCTGATGGGGACAAAATCCCCCCGTGTCAGTGCTCTTTGGAGGATCCCCTAATCTACATGTATTGGCCAGCTTGTTACTTTTATCCTAATGGGAATATTAGCATCACAGTATGATCCTGGGCTCTTGTCTGGAGTACTCCACATGTCCCTTTGTGTGACAATATTGGGCAGCTGAGGCTCATATTATAAGTAGAAATGAATGAGAGGAAGGGAACATAAACTTCCCTGCAATTATTGTCCTGGTAATTGAAGTACATCACTGCACCTATTAAAAACCCCACTTCTGTAAGTGACCCTGTGGGGATGGGACCCTGTATCCTGAGCTCAAATCCTGTCCTTCCACAACTACCCACCTATGCTGTTTCAAGCAAAGCACCACTGGGACTTTAAGCCAAAACCTTAAGTCAAACCCCAATCCTGGTGAGCTGGCCCAGCCTGCAGAAAGCCCTAAGGCTATGGGCCCAAGGCCAGGACCAGAGCAGATCAAGCTGTCTTTTTGCCCATTTCTCTCTCTGGATGCACTCACACTTTTCTGCTCTCTGTCTTCCCACTCCAGTGGACAGGAAAGATGAGCTTGAGGAAAAGAATGCCAGGAAACAAAAGGGTAAGAGAGCTGGCCTGGCTGGAGTGCCTAAGCCAGCTCCTATGGTCCAAGAGAACCAGGGAGCTCATCTTTTCCCAATTCTGCATTTGGTGATGTTTTAGTCTACCAGGGCTGCCATAACAAAATGCTATAGACTGGGTGGCTGAAACAATAGAGATTTACTTTCTCACCATGCAAGAGGATAGAAGTCCTTGATCAGGGTGTCGGGCAGGGTTGGTTTCTTCTGAGGCCTCTTTCCTTGGCTTGCAGGTGGCCATCTTCTCCATGTGCCTCCAAGTGGTCTTCCCTCTGTGTGTTTGTGTCCTAATTTTTTTTTTTTTTTTTTTTTTTTTTTTTTTTTTTGAGACAGAGTTTCATGCTTGTTGCCCAGGTTGAAGTGCAATGGTGTGATCTCGGCTCACTGCAACCTCCACCTCCTGGGTTCAAGCGATTCCTCTGCCTCAGCCTCCCAAGTAGCTGGGATTACAGGCATGTACCACCATGCCTAGCCAATTTTTTTGTATTTAGTAGAGACGTGGTTTCGCCATGTTGGTCAGGCTGGTCTCGAACTCCTGACCTCAGGTGATCCACCTGCATCGGCCTCTCAAAGTGCTGGGATTACAGGCATGTGCCACCACGCCCGGCCCCTAATCTTCTTATAAGGACACCAGTCATGCTGGATTAGAGTCTACCCATATGACCTCATTTTACCTTAATTACCTCTTTTAAGGCCCTATCTTCAACCCCCTAGTACCACATTCTAGGGTACTAGGGGTTTAGACTTCATGTGAATTTGGGGGGAACACAATTCAGCCCTTGATAAGTGACATCACATTGGCAGCAAGAAATTGGCCTTAAAGGGAGTATTCACAAATACAGAAATTTGTAAAAACATTACAAATCAGGACATTTTATTTTATTTTCCTGAGAGCCATTGTGAAACATTTACTAGTGCAACACTGGGTTACCTGAATCACTAAAGCCACTGTTCTTGGTAGTCCTGGGGTTCTCAGGGTGAAGAACTGCCCCAAAAGAGCAAACCCGGGTTCATTGTATAGTACTTGCTTTGTGAGAAAAAAGAAGAGAAGAATTGAAAGAGAAAGAAGAAAAGAACAGCCTGATGCTGAGCTCAAAGTGTTAATGGCTTTGTCATGTGTCCTTCTTTCTACACTTCCTCCCAAAAAGTGACCTTGAACTTCAGTCTCCTTTGGAGACAGTACGAGGAGAGGGGTAGGAAACAACAAAGAATTCCGATCTCTCAGCGGGCCCACAACCTTGCACTGGTGCACATCTTTTAAATGTTCAGTAGTTTTCCACAGCATCTCATTATATTCTGTGGATAGGCAGAGTGGGTAGTAAGCCCTTCAATTATAGACAGATAACGCCGTGAATCAGGAGCCCCGGATATTCAGTAGCAGAGCCTGGCTGGAGACAGGCAGCCTTCATCATCATTCCCAGAATGCAATGAATGCATCCCTCCCAAAATGAGAGCCACGTTCCAGTTTCACCCGAGAAACACTGGAATGGGATCACAGGGAATTTACCTAATATGCAGCTTGAAGCCGCGTGGGAGTTAATGATCTGGTGGGTAGCACACAGAGACAGGGTAATTGAAGGGTTAGCACCATGAGGTGTTGGGGTAATAGCCAGATTGATGGTTGAAGCTTTTGTTTCAGGTCCAGAAAGCAATTAAAGACCCTGGCACAGTGCTTATTATCCAGAGATCCAGGTGGCCACAGGCTTGTCCACACACTGTAATTTGCTCCAGACCCTCGCCAGCCCCCCTCACTGGGCTCAATTTTGGTCCTGCAAACAGTGCTGCTCTCCCCCAGAAACAGATAGAGGCACTCCTCTCTCTGCTCAAGGCTGAAAGGTTTTGTCCAAAGCATTACATTCTCTAGTGGAGAACTACAGGATTTTTCTTTTTTTAAAAGCAAAGATCTAAAAGACTAATTTGAAAAGACAGTGGCATGATTTACATTTTTCTGCTGTGCAAAGAAGGCCTGAGGAAGTGAGGGGTTGCTTTGTTGACTTGCTTTCTTCGCATTTCATTCTCAGCAGTATCTCTACTTCCCTGTTTTCAAAAGTTGCCTTTCTTCTATCTTTCCAAGTCTCCAACCAGTGCCTGTTTGTCTAGTAAATTCCCAGGAGGAAATCAAGTCTTATCCGTCAGCTCAGGACGTTTTCCACTTATTTATAAGGGAGAAAAGTCAACAACTCAAGAACCATTAAAAAGAAGTGAACAACAAAATGGCAAGTGGCTGCTTTAATTTTCTTTCAAATGCTTCCTGGCCAGGCTGCCTGGAGGAAGTCTGCTTGAGGGCTGACAGGCAGAATTATCTGTGGGCAGCTCTACAGAGTGTGGCCCTGTTTCTCAGACCTCAGTCATCTGCCCACTGCCAGCATGAACAATCGTTTACTTGGTATTTCTTTCTTTACATTGATGCATTTATTTTCACTTAGGTAAATGTGTTTTGAAGAATAACTGTGTGTCAAGGACAAGAACTCCTTCCTCTGTGCCTAAAGGGGATTACAGAACATTGAATTTTGGGAGGGACCCAAAGAGTCCTGTAGTGGAGTAAAGTGGCTGGGAAATGCAGCTGAGCAACACAGCAGGTACAGGAGTATGTGCCTGTGGCTGACTTCACATCTCCATGCATGGCTGTTCCTCTTTCCCACCTTTCTGTCTCTCTACTATCCCAAATTCCAGAGCCCTACACTGACTCAGGCTCCCAGGGGAGAGTAGCAAATATCTGAACACCAATACAGCCTATCCCAGGATTGAAGTTAAAAATAAGATTCTTTATTGCACAGAATCATGGATCATACATCTGTTTTCTTTTAGTGTCATGCAAGATAACTCTGGGTGTAGTGGTTAAGGCATATTATCAATATCAGCCAATTTTGTGCCTGATATCTCAGACTATGAGAGTACTGAGAAAGGGGAAGTTAATACTAATCAAAGGAATTACAGGAAAATTTAAGCCGAAGGCCCATACTCTGACTTTAGAAATGGATAACATTTTGATAGGGAGTGATGGTAGAATGGGGTTCTGGTTGGGGGGAACAGCATGAACAAGACTAGGAAGGACAACAGTGTCAGGAACAGCAAGTAGTTGGGTGTGACCACATGTTAAAGAACAAAAGCACTAGGGCAGTAGCAAGAGTAGAATTAGGAGATAGGATTGAAAACTTAGGCTGGGAATAAAACACACTTTGTTCTCTAGGCAATGGAGAATCAATGGATAATTTTATGCAGAAAAAACCTGCAATCAGATTAATGGTTCAGAGTTAACTGGTACAGCATAGAAGGGTCAAAGTATAGGAGAGACAAAGACCGTTTTATAAGGTGATATGGTTTAGCTGTGCCCCCACCCAAATCTCATTTTGAATTGTAACTCCCACAATTCCCATGTGTCATGGGAGGGACCTGGTGGGAGGTAACTGAATCATAGGGGCGGGTCTTTCTCATGCTGTTCTCGTGACAGTGAATAAGTGTCATGAGATCTGATGGTTTTACAAAGAGGAGTTTCCCTGCACAAGCTCTCTTCTCTTTGACTGTGGCCATCCATTTAAGACATGATTTGCTCCTCCTTGCCTTCCACCATGATTGTGAGGCCTCCCCAGCCATGTGGAAGTGTAAGTCCATTAAACCCCTTTTTCTTCCCAGTTTGAGGAATTTCTTTTTTTTCTTTTTTTTTTTTTTTTTTTTTTTTGAGATGGAGTTTCATTCTTGTTGCCCAGGCTGGAGTACAATGGCGCGATCTCGGCTTACTGCAACCTCCACCTCCCAGGTTCGAGTGATTCTCCTGCCTCAGCTTCCTGAGTAGCTGCAATTACAGGCATGTACCACCACGTCGGGCATTTCTTTATCAGCAGCATGAAGATGAACTAATACATGAGGCTATGGCTGTAACCTCATAATATGAATATGAATATGAAGGGTCTGGATTGGGACAATGTTCATTCATCCATTGATCATTCAGCAAATACTTGTTGTAGAGAGTATGGTAAGCAATAAAAATTTACAGTCTACCAAAGAAGAAACAGACCTTGATCACACAATTATGCAAATAAATGCAAAATTGCAGTGGGCTTTACTTGCCAATTGGGAGCCACATGGGTGTGTATAACAGGGAGATGTGACTTGATCTTGAAATTCTTCATAAAAAGAATGACAGTTGAGCCAAGATCTAAAATATTAATACAAGTTAGGTTGGCATAAAAAGGAAGAAAAATCTTTCTCTGATGAGAAAACAGAACACGTACAAGTCCTCTGAAGATAGAAACATGGCATATAGAAAAGAAACTAGAAAAAAATGTTTCCCAAGGCTGGGAAAAAATGATGAGTGGATATTTGGATCAAAATGAGGCTGGGCCCCTCTCTATGCCCGTGTAGAGTCCCTTAGACTATGCTCAAACTTTTTGCCTTTATTCTAACAGCAAATGGAAGACAGTAAATAATTTTAAGCAGAAAGGTGACATGATTGGATTTGCATTTCAAAAAAATACATATCTGGCCTGATTAAAGAATAGATTGGAAGGGAGAAATAGTCAATGGGGAGAAACTTATCATAAGGCTCTTTTCGTGGCCAAGTAAAAGATAATTTCAGGCTGGACTGGGGTAGCAATGGGGGAAACAAAGAGAAGTGGACAGATTCAAGGACATTTAGGAAGTGTAATGGATTGGGATTTGGTGACAGATTGAATACAACAAATAAGAGAAAGGAATCTGTCAAGACCATGAGGTCTGGCTTGTGTATTTGGATAGATGGTGGTTATGTTCCCTGAGACAAGGAATGATGGGAGAAGGGTGTGTGTGTGTGTGTGTGTGTGTGTGTGTGTGTGTGTGTGTGTGTGTGAGAGAGAGAGAGAGAGGAGAGAGAGAGAGAGAGAGAACGAGAACGCACATAGAGAGATCCTTAGTCCAGTTTTGAACATTTTAAGTTTGGGCTGTGTCTTTTCAAACATCCAAGAGTTGCTGTCAACTTGACAGTACATAGAAAGGTCTGAAGTTCAAAGAGAGGTCTGGAGTTCAGTGATAATAGAAATGAAAGGCAGGCATTAGAGTAGCAGGATGACATTTATAGGTTAATTAATTTTATGATCATTAAAGTTCAGGACTAGGACTCCCCAAAAAAGATATCCATTGTATCATGATTATATCAGGATACTTTTGACTGCAAGTATATGAATGCCTTAATTCAAACTGATTAATAAAGAAAACACATCTTGTATCTTTGGAAGACTCATAGTAGGGTGGACTTTAGTGTTGCTGATCCAAAGGGTCGTTGATGTCATCTAGAGCCCAGATTCTTCTTATCCCTCTGTTTTGCCATTCTTAGTGTTGGCTCCATCCTCAGAAGATGAATGAGGCCACAGGTCCAAGTGTTACCTCTAGATGTGATAATGGCCAAAAGAAGAAAATAGACCAACTATTTTTATGATTTTCCCCTCAAGCCCCAGTGACTAGGATTAGCTCACATATCAATGCCTGGATCAATTACTGGCAAGGAGATGGGATGACCATGATTGGTTTTAGTTAATGATCTGTGATGAAATGGAAGTCATGTAGTCAATCTCTGTGTTTTTCAAAACATGAGAGAGAGATTCATCATATACATGTAACAATAAAAAGGTATGGCAAGTTAGCTACATCAAGTATTGCAGTAAATTTTTTATGCACATTGCCTCATTGAATCCCCACCAGAGTCCACAAACGCAAGTTGTATTTTTATTTCCATTTTACTAATGCAGAAACTGAGGCTCAGAGAAGTGAAATAATTTTCTGAAGGTTGCACCACCAGTACGTGCCTGAGATTTCATTACTTGTTTAATTCCACAACTATTAACAACTATGCTATCCTGCCTTTTTCAGCATTCCCAGTATTTTTAATATCAAAAATAATGCTTGAAAAGAAAATGTGTTATTTTGACACAGACATGTATACCTCTAAACAGCACACTAGCACAGAAAACACATATTTATACAATAATCTTTTTATAAAGAAACTTTGAATTATCCCCTCTAGTTTTGTCATATGCATTTACATATTTACTTTGTGATCATAGATTAGATTTGTCTCCTCCTTTTCCTCTGAACACTATATTGTGTACATTTTTATTGTTTCTCTAGTCGTTATAATCTCTTTTTTAATAACCTTATAATATTTCAGTGAGTGACTACACAATGATTACGTAAACTTACTTAATGATTCTCTCACTGTCGGAAGGCATTTTCAGTTTTACATAATGTAGATAATGTTGCCCAAAAGAGTTTCAGGCACATCAGGAATTTGTCCTCTTTCATTGAATTATTTCTTCATTTTCCATGCTGATGTGGAGAAACGTTGGGCCAACAGGTATGAAGCAGCTTATAGTTCTGGATATGTCCTGCCAAATTACCCTGCAAAAATGTTTTACTAATTTGCATTGCTGCATAGTCTATAAGTATGCCATTAAAGTAGCTATCCAGCCAGCATTGGTCATCTGAATGGCTACTATTTTTTATTATATAATAGAGATAAAATGGTAATTAAACTAAAGAGCTTCTGCACAGCAAAAGAAACTACCATCAGAGTGAACAGGCAACCTACAGAATGGGAGAAAATTTTTGCAATCTACTCATCTGACAAAGGGCTACTATCCAGAATCTACAAAGAACTCAAACAGATTTACAAGAAAAAAACAAACAACCCCATCAACAAGTGGGCGAAGCATATGAACAGACACTTCTCAAAAAAGGACATTTGATGGGCGGTTCCAAGATGGCCGAATAGGAACAGCTCCAGTCTACAGCTCCAGCGTGAGTGACGCAGAAGACAGGTGATTTGTGCATTTCCAACTGAGGTACCGGGTTCATCTCACTGGGGCTTGTCAGACAGTGGGTGCAGGACAGTGGGTGCAGCGCACCGAGCGTGAGCCAAAGCAGGGCGAGGCATCGCTTCACCCGGGAAGCACAAGGGGTCAGGGAATTCCCTTTCATAGCCAAACAAAGCTGTGACAGATGGCACCTGGAAAACTGGGTCACTCCCACCCTAATACTGCACTTTTCCAATGGTCTTAGCAAACAGCACACCAGGAGATTATATCCCACGCCTGGCTCAGAGGGTGCCATGCACACAGAGCCTTGCTCGTTGCTAGCACAGCAGTCTGAGATCAAACTGCAAGGCGGCACTGAGGCTGGGGGAGGGGCGCCAGCCATTGCTGAGGCTTGAGTAGGGAAACAAAGCAGCAGGGAAAATCAAACTGGGTGGAGCCCACCACAGCTCAAGGACGCCTGCCTGCTTCTATAGACCACCTCTGGAGGCAGGGCATAGCCGAACAAAAGGTAGCAGAAACCTCTGCAGACTTAAATGTTCCTGTCTGACAGCTTTGAAGAGAGTAGTGGTTCTCCTAGCACAGAGTCTGAGATCTGAAAACGAACAGACTGCCTCCTCAAGTGGGTCCCTGACCCCCAAGTAGCCTGTCTGGGAGGTGCCACCCAGTAGGGGCAGACAGACACCTCACAATGCTGGGTACCCCTCTGAGACGAAACCTCCAGAGGAATGATCAGACAGCAACATTTGCTGTTCAGCAATATTTGCTGTCCTGCAGTCTCTGCTGCTGATACCGAGGCAAACAGGGTCTGGAGTGGACCTCCAGCAAACTCCAACAAACCTGCAGCTGAGGGTCCTGATTGTTAAAAGGAAAACTAACAAACAGAAAGGACATCCACACCAAAACCCCATCTGTATGTCACTATCATCAAAGACCAAGGGTAGATAAAACCACAATCATGGGGAAAAAACAGAACAGAAAAACTGAAAATTCTAAAAATCAGAGCACCTCTTCTCCTCCAAAGGAATGCAGCTCCTCACCAGGAACGGAACAAAGCCACACAGAGAATGACTTTGACGAGTTGAGAGAAAAAGGCTTCAGATGATCAAAATTCTCCGAGCTAAAGGAGGAAGTTTGAACCCATCGCAAATGAGTTAAAAACCTTGAAAAAAGATTAGACAAATGGCTAACTAGAATAAGCAATGCAGAGAAGTCCATAAAGGACCTGATGGAGCTGAAAACCATGGCATGAGAACTATCTGATGAATGCACTAGCTTCAGTAGCTGATTCGATCAACTGGAAGAAAGGGTGTCAGTGATTGAAGAGCAAATGAATGAAATGGAGCGAGAAGAGAAGTTTAGAGAAAAAAGAATTAAAATAAACGAACAAAACTGCCAAGAAATATGGGACTATGTGAAAAGACAAAATCTACGTCAGATTGGTGTACCTGAAAGTGATGGGGAGAATGGAACCAAGTTGGAAAGCACTCTGCAGGATATTATCCAGGAGAACATCCCCAATCTAGCAAGGCAGGCCAACATTCAAATTCAGGAAATACAGAGAATGCCACAAAGATACTCCTCGAGAAGAGCAACTTCAAGACACATAATTGTCAGACTCACCAAAGTTGAAATGAAGGAAAAAATGTTAAGGGCAGCCAGAGAGAAAGGTCGGGTTACCCACAAAGGGAAGCCCATCAGACTAACAGCTGATCTCTTGGCAGAAACTCTACAAGCCAGAAGACAGTGGGGGCCAATATTCAACATTCTGAAAGAATTTTCAACCCAGAATTTCATATCCAGCCAAACTAAGCTTCATAAGTGAAGGAGAAATAAAATACTTTACAGACAAGCAAATGCTGAGAGATTCTGTCACCACCAGGCCTTCCCTACAAGAGCTCCTGAAGAAAGCACTAAACATGGAAAGAAACAACTGGTACCAGCCACTGAAAAAACATGCCAAATTGTAAAGACCATCGATGCTAGGAAGAAACTGCATCAACTAACGAGCAAAATAACCAGCTAACATCATAATGACAGGATCAAATTCCACATAACAATATTAACCTTAAATGTAAATGGGCTAAATGATCCAATTAAAAGACACAGACTGGGAAATTGGATAAAGAGTCAAGACCCATCAGTGTGCTGTATTCAGGAAACCCATCTCACATGCAGAGACACACATAGGCTCAAAATAAAGGGATGGAGGAAGATCTACCAAGCAAATGGAAAACAAAAAAAGGCAGGGGTTGCAATCCTAGTCTCTGATAAAACAGACTTTAAGCTAACAAAGATCAGAAGAGACAAAGAAGGCCATTACATAATGGTAAAGGGATCAATTTAACAAGAAGAGCTAACTATCCTAAATATATATGCACCCAATACAGGAGCACCCAGATTCATAAAGCAAGTCCTTAGAGACCTACGAAGAGACTTAGACTCCCACACAATAATGATGGGAGACTTTAACACCCCACTGTCAACATTAGACAGATCAATGAGACAGAAAGTTAACAAGGATATCCAGGAATTGAACTCAGCTCTGCACCACATGGACCTAATAGACATCTACAGAACTCTCCACCCAAAATCAACAGAATACACATTCTTCTCAGCTCCACAACGCACCTATTCCAAAATTGACCACATAGTTGGAAGTAAAGCACTCCTCAGCAAATGTAAAAGAACAGAAATTATAACAAACTGTCTCTCAGACCACA
The DNA here is from genome assembly GCF_000001405.40 of Homo sapiens. Classification (NCBI taxonomy): domain Eukaryota; kingdom Metazoa; phylum Chordata; class Mammalia; order Primates; family Hominidae; genus Homo; species Homo sapiens. The sequence continues at coordinate 34,791,498 of NC_000022.11, forward strand.
GTGCAATCAAACTAGAACTCAGGATTAAGAAACTCACTCAAAACCACTCAATTACATGGAAACTGAACAACTGGCTCCTGAATGACTACTGGGTACATAACGAAATGAAGGCAGAAATAAAGATGTTCTTTGAAACCAACGAGATCAAAGACACAACATACCAGAATCTCTGGGACACATTCAAAGCAGTGTGTAGAGGGAAATTTATAGCACTAAATGCCCACAAAAGAAAGCAGGAAAGATCTAAAATTGACACCCTAACATCACAATTAAAGGAACTAGAGAAGCAAGAGTAAACACATTCAAAAGCTAGCAGAAGGCAAGAAATAACTAAGATCAGAGCAGAACTGAAGGAGATAGAGACACAAAAAACCCTTCAAAAAATCAGTAAATCCAGGAGCTGGTTTTTTTAAAAGATCAACAAAATTGATAGACCACTAGCAACACTAATAAAGAAGAAAAGAGAGAAGAATCAAATACACGAAATAAGAAATGATAAAGGGGATATCAGCACCAATCCCACAGAAATACAAACTACCATCAGAGAATACTACAAACACCTCTACACAAATAAACTAGAAAATCTACAAGAAATGGATAAATTCCTCAACATATACCCCCTCCCAAGACACTAAACCAGGAAGAAGTTGAATCTCTGAATAGACCAATAACAGGCTCTGAAATTCAGGCAATGATTAACAGCTTAGGAACCAAGAAACTCCAGGACCAGACGGATTCACAGCCAAGTTCTACCAGAGGTACAAGGAGGAGCTGGTACCATTCCTTCTGAAACTATTCCAATCAATAGAAAAAGAGGGAATCCTCCCTAACTCATTTTATGAGGCCAGCATCATCCTGATACCAAAGCCTGGAAGAGACACAACAAAAAAAGAGAATTTTAGACCAATATCCCTGATGAACATCGATGCAAAAATCCTCAATAAAATACTGGCAAACCGAATCCAGCAGCACATCAAAAAGCTTATCCACCAAGATCAAGTGGGCTTCATCCCTGGGATGCAAGGCTAGTTCAAAATATGCAAATCAATAAATGTAATCCAGCATATAAACAGAACCAAAGACAAAAACCACATGATTATCTCAATAGATGCAGAAAAGGCCTTTGACAAAATTCAACAGCCCTTCATGCTAAAAACTCTCAATAAACTAGGTATTGATGGGACATATCTAAAAATAATGAGAGCTATTTATGACAAACCCACAGCCAATATCATACTGAATGGGCAAAAACTGGAAGCATTCCCTTTGAAAACTGGCACAAGACAGGGATGCCCTCTCTCACCACTCCTATTCAACATAGTGTTGGAAGTTCTAGCCAGGGCAATCAGGCAGGAGAAAGAATAAAGGGTATTCAATTAGGAAAAGGGGAAGTCAAATTGTCCGTTTGCAGATGACATGATTGTATATCTAGAAAACCCCATCGTCTCAGCCCAAAATCTCCTTAAGCTGATAAGCAACTTCAGCAAAGTCTCAGGATACAAAATCAATGTTCAAAAATCACAAGCATTCTTATACACCAATAACAGACAAACAGAGAGCCAAATCATGAGTAAACTCCCATTCACAATTGCATCAAAGATAATAAAATACCTAGGAGTCCAACTTACAAGGGATGTGAAGGACCCCTTCAAGGAGAACTACAAACCACTGCTCAACGAAATAAAAGAGGACACAAACAAATGGAAGAACATCCCATGCTCATGGATAGGAAGAATCAATATCATGAAAATGGCCATACTGCCCAAGGTAATTTATAGATTCAATGCCATCCCCATCAAGCTACCAATGACTTTCTTCACAGAATTGGAAAAAAGTACTCTAAAGTTCATATGGAACCAAAAAAGAGCCTGCATTGCCAGGTCAATCCTAAGCCAAAGGAACAAAGCTGGAGGCATCACACTACCTGACTTCAAACTATACTACAAGGCTACAGTAACCAAAACAGCATGGTACTGGTACCAAAACAGAGATATAGACCAATGGAACATAACAGAGCCCTCAGAAACAATGCCACATATCTACCACTATCTGATCTTTGAGAAACCTGACAAAAACAAGAAATGGGGAAAGGATTCCCTATTTAACAAATGGTGCTGGGAAAACTGGCTAGCCACATGTAGAAAGCTGAAACTGGATCCCTTCCTTACACCTTATACAAAAATTAATTCAAGATGGATTAAAGACTTAAATGTTAGACCTAAAACCATAAACACCCTAGAAGAAAACCTAGGCAATACCATTCAGGACATAGGCATGGGCAAGGACTTCATGTCTAAAACACCAAAAGCAATGGCAACAAAAGCCAAAATTGACAAATGGGATCTCATTAAACTAAAGAGCTTCTGCACAGCAAAAGAAACTACCACCAGAGTGAACAGGCAACCTACAGAATGGGAGAAAATTTTTGCAATCTACTCATCTGACAAAGGGCTAATATCCAGAATCTACAAAGAACTCAAACAAATTTACAAGAAAAAAACAACCCCATCAACAAGTGGGTGAAGGATATGAACGGACACTTCTCAAAAGAAAACAAATTTTGCAGGCAACAGACACATGAAAAAATGCTCACCATCACTGGTCATCAGAGAAGTGCAAATCAAAACCACAATGAGATACCGTCTCACACCAGTTAGAATGGCAATCATTAAAAAGTCAGGAAACAACAGGTGCTGGAGAGGATGTGGAGAAATAGGAACACTTTTACACTGTTGGTGGGACTGTAAACTAGTTCAACCATTGTGGAAGTCAGTGTGGCGATTCCTCAGGGATCTAGAACTAGAAATACCATTTGACCCACCCATCCCATTACTGGGTATATACCCAAAGGGTTATAAATCATGCTGCTATAAAGACACATGCACACATATGTTTATTGCAGCACTACTCACAATAGCAAAGACTTGGAACCAACCCAAATGTCCAACAATGATAGATTGGATTAAGAAAATGTGGCACATATACACCACCGAATACTATGCAGCCATAAAAAATGATGAGTTCATGTCCTTTGTAAGGACATGGATGAAGCTGGAAACCATCATTCTCAGCATACTATCACAAGGACAAAAAACCAAACACTGCATGTTCTCACTCATAGGTGGGAACTGAACAATGAGAACACTTGGACACAGGAAGGGGAACATCACACCCCGGGGCCTGTTGTGAGATGGGGGGAGTGGGGAGGGATAGCATTAGGAGATATACCTAATGTAAATGACGAGTTAATGGGTGCAACACACCAACATGGCACATGCATACATATGTACCAAACCTGCATGTTGTGCACATGTACCCTAGAACTTAAAGTATAATAAAAATATATATGTAAAAAATAGAGATAAAATGGAATGTCCATATTTTCTTTTGATAACCAGCGAGGTTGAGCATTTTCCAGGGTATGCAATTTCTACTTGCATTTCTTCATATATGAATGTTCTGTTTGTACCATTTACCCCTTTGATTTAGGAGTTTTAGATAGTGTATACTGAGAGGGTTACTGACAGTGGCCTGGGAGATAAACTCCATTTAAAGGAGAGTTTGTGGGGAAAGAAAAGTGCCTCCCATGAAGCTTGGGCTTTTTAAGACCCCAGAATGTGTTTTGAGCAAAACATAGCTAAGCCATAGATGTGAGGGCCCTTAATGGGACTGTTAGGGGAGACGTTATTACCAAGATTTATTTGTCTTATTCCAGGCTGTAAATTCATTTCTTAGCCCAGTTTCACCATGTGCCATAAATAACAAGGCTGTGTAAACAAATATCGCCCAGACACATGAACCAATTGAAATTAGACTTAAAAAATACTAATAACACTGCCATTACTTGATTCTTGTTTATGTCATGACCCACGGTCACTCACTCTTGACTGCCCCCAAACCTACACATACAGACATGCACACACAGAAGCACATACATATATGCATGCCTACAGAGACATATATACACACACACAGACACACAGACACACACACACCCACCATGGTTGCTTGAGAGACAAATGACCCCATAAGGCTATCCTAACCAAGTACGCAGAAGTGGAGAAACATGCTGACAGATAAATAACTGTTAGAAAAAAATTAATATTTCCTTAAGTACTTCTTCAGATCGAATAGTATTTCCTAGGAGATACGTGAGAAAATAAGAGGCAGAGAAATATGGGCTTGTTGCCAGCTTTCAATCACTGCCCATCCCTTAGGTGAGAAAATATGAGGGTTTAATTGAGTAGCTCAATAGACAGTGAAAATGACTCGACATACACAGTCAAAATTAAGAGACGAACCAATCAGGGGATGATTTAGTGACTCAAGTTTGCAATTACAGCCTTCAAAGGCATCCCTGTCTCCTTGTTTCCCTACAAAATCCTTGGGCTGGTATGTCAAAGCCTGGTAATAACAGTAACAGCAACCATCAATAGCAATTCTGAGTGATTCTTAATGAATCAAGGACCTAGAAGTTTCCATACAAATCACAGAGACATACTGTGCCACTGGACCTCACAAGATAAGTTTAAGCAGCAATTTTAGATAATAGGGCCACACCATATTGAGTCCCTCTCATGTGCCAAGCAATGAGGTTTCACCGTCAGAGCAGCCCCGGCAGCAGATCAGAGGAGCAGTCTGTCTACATCTCAGGTCTGCCTGAATCCAAAGCTCAAGATCTTCTCCTGCCCCATGCTGATGATTCAGTGGTCACCATGTTAGTATCATGATTTGGAGCGCTTTCCCCACATGTCATCTTATTAGATTCCTATTCACTGAACACTTTGAGGACCTACAGTATGCCAGACACTGTATGGAATCCAGGATGCAACACTGAATAATACATAATCCTTGGCCTCAGAGTGCTTTGGGTCTGGTGTAGGAGAGAGATCAATGTTTTAAAAAATTAAAATACAATATGAAGCTCACCATGATGGGGATAGGCAGAGGTGCTATGGAGACGATCAGGAAAAGATTTATTTGCCCCTGAAGGAACTGAGGCTTAGAAAATTTCCCTGACTTGTCTAAGGTCCCACAGCTAATACATGGCACAGCTACCTTCAGCATCTGCCAACTACCTACATTCTACTGGGTGTTGATTTTCCCATCTGTAACGTGGACATACTGCCTCACAGGCTTTTTGAAATGCATGCGAAGGTATTTTATGAAACTTAAAAGAATTTAACAAATGTTATTTATGGTTGGTGCTACTGTTATTATCAGGCTATGTATGACATACTAGCCCAAGGATTTTATAGGAACAAAAAAGAGACAGAAAATGAGTGAGAGAGCTCAAATATAGGTGCCATAGGATCATTTTGTCTGATTTAACATCAATTTTAAATCAATAATTGATCAAACAAATTGACGGCCTACAGCATGCATGGCACTGTGATAGACTCTGGGGATATAGCAGTAAATAAGACAGACAAACCACCAATTAATTATACTTTTTTTTTTTGAGACAGAGTTTCACTCTTGTTCCCCAGTCTGGCATGCAATGGCACGATCTCAGCTCACCGCAACCTCTGCCTCCCAGATTCAAGTGATTCTCCTGCCTCAGCCTCCCGAGTAGCTGAGATTACAGGCATGCGCCACCACACCTGATTTATTTTTTGTATTTTTAGTAGAGACAGGGTTTCTCCATGTTGGTCAGGCTGGTCTCAAACTCCTGACCTCAGGTGATCTGCCCACCTTGGCCTCCCAAAGTGCTGGGATTACAGGCATAAGCCACCGCGCCCGGCCCCAAATACACATTTCTTAGTCAATAAATAATGTTCAACCATGCAACAAAGGAGAAGTTTGGGGAACATGAGGGCTTATAAAGGGGAGGCTGACCTGCTCTGGAAGGGCAGAGAAGGCTTTCCTGAGGAAGTATGGTGAGTTGAGAGCTGAAGTTGAGTAGGAGTTCCAGGAAGAGGGAAGAGTACGTGAGGAAGGCCCAGAGGCAGGAAGGAGCATGCTCCTAAAGGCCAGTGTGGCTGGAGTCAAGACAGCAAGGGCAACAGTGGAGAGAGATAAAAGTAGGGCCCTATATGTGATGGTCAGAAATATAGACAATGAGGACCAGTAAAGAGCTCGGAGCAAAGAAGCACCATCATGGGGTTGACATTTGTAAAACCTCACTGTGTTGGAATCGAACGGAAAAGAGGCAAACTGGATGTGCCAAGGCCAGTGAGGAGAATATTGCTCTGGTTCAGGGAAGAAAGGATGAAGCTTGGACCTGGGAGTTGGCAATGGAGATGGAATTCCTCAAAGGACAGATGCTAGTGAAATACAAGATCCTTCTAATAAGAAATCTTTCCCATTTAAACAATGTTGGAAACCATGTAGTCATCTAGTACTGCATGTGTGTGAATGTGTCTTTCTCATTAAACTGCATGTTTCCGCTCCCTAGCCGAGCCCCTTGCACATAAGGAAGTCCTCCATAAATGTTGTTTCTTCACACTGACTTTAGATGGAATGTACCAGCAGTGAGCATCCTGCATTCTTGGATAGATGTGAGTTGAGAAGTATGAGAAAGAAAAACGCTTGAATCCAATCCAGATTATTTTTTCTCTTCTGTAATATAGATCCTTCTTGTCAGTTAATTCTGAGTGATTTCTCAGATAAAGGCAACTTAAGCTGCCTCATGCCATCCAAACTATGTCTGCCTGGAGGAAATTAAACTGCCGTGTCCATGCAGTGTAACACTTGGCAGAAAAGAGACAGTGCTTCACGTTCCTGCAGTGGTATCCCATCTTTTCATAACCGCTTCCACTTGCTCTTCCTCCTCTGGCTGCCAGAGAAATAACCCCCACTTCTTCCTCTTGTATCTTTTAAGGACCTATGGTGCTTTCTTAGTTCAGAAGATAGGGCTGGAGTCCACCTCTTCATCTGGACTTCTTGGGCCATGCAGATGACCGTGATAACATATATTTTGCCTGCTCCACCTCAGTAGCCATGCTGTAGGCCAACCCTAAAATTTCAGAGATGAGGCCCATCCAAGAAGATGAGGTGGTGGTGATTGTCATAGAGCAGGTTTCCTAGAAGCTGAGCCTGAGATGGGGGAGGAACCTGGAGGGGAGCGAGGGAAGCAGGACAAGGTAGGGAAGAGGCTAGACAACAACGTGGCTTCAGTAGAAGCCTGGACAGCCTGATTCCTCTGGGAGCCTGAGCATAAACTGCAGCAAGGACGTTTTCCTGCCCAAATGCAAGACAGCTGGGCCTTGATTCCCACACAAAAGTCACTGGTCATGGGCTGCACTTCATGGTGACTGGGGAACTTGATCTCCCAGGCATCCCTAGGGAAAGGGCTCCATCAGCCAAGATTAAGCCTCCACAGAAGAAAGCAGCTGGATGCCCTTAGCTACTGACAGCTGCAGTAGCTGGGGGAGGAGGGTGAGTGCACTGGCCAAGCAAATGGGACCTGCATAGGGCAGCGAGAGCATCTGCTAGAGAATTCATTCCAGTTCTTAAAGTATGCATTTGTGATGAGGATGGTGGTTCAGGAGAATGTTCCAAGGGAAATGCTGTGAACCAGCCACTCCCATACTGCGTGTTCTTGAATAAGTAACATCCCCTCTGTGAATCCCCTTGACCTTCTACTAAGTGAGTTACCGGTTATAAAATACTTCCTGTCTCTACATTTCTGACATGAATCCTAAACTCCAATTAGGTTAGAGTCTATTGGAGAATTTCGATTTTTTTTTTTTTTTTTTCCTTGAGAAGGAGTCTCTCTCTGTCGCCTAGGCTGGAGTGCAGTGGCGGGATCTCGGCTCACTGCAAGCTCCGCCTCCTGGGTTCATGCCATTCTATTGGAGAGTTTCTATAACCAAAGAAGATAACTTGGAAAATGCATTAGTCTCTGCCATTTGGGAGTCCAGAAGCATGTGTTTGCTGGAAAATTTAGGAGTGGAGCGTGAGAGGGAAGTGAAGTGATCCCATAGACCATGAGGCCATAGACCATGAGGTCCTCCAGGCCAGCAGCTATAGTTCCTCATCCTCCAATGCCCAACCAGCAACTGGCATTTAAAGTCTATGTGAAGAAGGAGAGAGAGGTAGAGCAAAAGAAGAGAGACACGGGAGCTAGGAAAGTAGCTGGAAAGTCCTGTGGTAGTTATTTTATTTTGATTTCCCCAATCCCCTCAACTTAGATAGCAATGAGGATGCTTCTAAACATGTACAAACGAACCTGAAAATATAGACAGAGGAAGAATCTGCCAGAAAGGTAAGAAGAAAAGCAAGAGAAACCTACATCTCAGAACCCATTCTAGGTTATGGAAGAGTGGTCGCTAGTGTCACATACTGCCAAGAAGTCAAGTAGAAAAGGATGGAAGAGATCCGAGTAGAATTGGCAGCCTAGAGGTGATTGGCAACTTCCTTTGGCAAGAAGAGTTCTTGATTCCGTGAACTTGCATTCATTTCCATGGCTGCGTTCTCCCATGGGAGGGCTGGCAGAGGCTGAAGGATGGAGGGAGGTGATGGGGAAGAGAAGAGATCCAGGCTCCTTCACGCATCCCCACGCGGATAATAGAATGCTGCTTAAACTGCCCTGCTCACACCCCCTTTCAAGTCAAGAATTGGAGCTAATGGTAAAAACATTCCATATGTTCTGAGTGGCTACAAACTCATTATTGTGCCTTGGCTGGCAATGTAGCCCTTCAGTTAATGAAATCCGGTGCTGGAGCAAATGAATCCATGCAGGAGAGGGGTGTCTGATGGTGGCAGCTGAGCTTCAATTTTTTTCACTTTTTATTTCTTCTCCCGCAGCCCCATCCCAGAAAGAGAAAGAGCTAAGAGAAAGGGGGAGAAAAGAAACAGGACTTAAAACAGCCCCCAAGTCCAAACAACAAAAACAGCAATCGCTATATTTCAAAGCCAGTGCAAATTAGACTAAGCGGCCGCAGAAGCCAAATGGAAATCGTAATTCTTCCAGTCCCTTGCTGCTCAGACACGTGTAATAGGTTTGGCAGAGAGTCAAGGAATACAGGGGCCAAGCCGCGGTATGTTTTAAAGAATCTGAAGCCTGTTCACTGTGGGGAAGCCAGATTTCTGCACAGCTCGGAAGGAGGGACGTCTGGACCAGGCTGGACAGGTCCAATTCTCCATTGGAGAAGGGCCCTGGACCTTTCAGAGACTTGGAAGCCTAAGGTCAGGGGCAGGTCTGTCCAGGTGAACAGGAGTCATGCACAGGCAGGGCAGGGTTTGGGTGGGGAAGCCTGTAGACCACCCAGGACCAGGAAGCTATGAAGCAGTCTCCTTTAGGGAGCTAGAGAACAGCCTGAGAAGGCTGCAGAGGAGGCTGCCAGGAAGTGATCTTGGTTACATTTGTCACAACAGTGAGGGAGAGGAGAAGGAAGGAGACACAGAAAGGAATTGCCATCCTCTGTTCCGACACTCTGCTGGGCATTCTCATTCAACTCCCTGAGATGGCCACCAGCCTGCCTGCTTCCCAGAGGAGGAAACTGAGGAGCAGAGAGCTCAAGGAGCCTGCCCACTGTCATAGAGCTGGAAATGGGGGTTAAGAGTCAGCATTTGAACCCAGTTCATCCTAAGTTCCAAGCTCATGCTCTCTCACCTACCAGTGATACGGAAGCGGGGCAGGAAAGTGCTGAGAAGGGAAGGGCATGATCCCTGGCAAGGACTCCACCCCAGGAGCCTGTGTCTACTGACCTAGGTGAGGGCAGGCACTTCTGCCTTTGTGCCCAAATGTTGCATTTTCCAAGACCACCCTGGCCCACCACACCCCCATCCTGTGCCTAAAAAAACCCCAGGACCCTAGCAGACAGAGACATAAGCGGCTGGACATTGAGAGGAACACATCAGCAGAAGACACAAGCGGCTGGGGAACATCAAGGGGAACACGCCGGCAGAAGAGCACACCGACAGACACCTGTAGGCCTGCAGGCCATTGACCAGTGGAACAACTTGGAGTTTGGCTGGCGGGGCCGGGCGGGGGTATCAGAGGAGAGACTGGGCAGCTGAGCGGCCTGACTCCAGGGGAAAACCACCTCCTTTCTGGCTCCCCCATCTGCTGAGAACTACTTCCAGTTAATAAACTCTCACACTCATTTTCCAAGCCCAAGTGTGATCCAATTCTTCCGGTACACCTAAGTACCCCAGTACACCCGGACATACAAAAAGCCCTCTGTCCTTCTGATAAGGCAGAGTGTCTAACTGAGCCGACTAACACCAGCTACGTTCTGAGGGCTAAACTAAAAGAGCACCCTGTAACAAATGCCCACGGGGGCTTCATGAGCTGTAAGCATTCACCCCTAGATGCTGCCATGGGATCGGAGCCCCATCGCCTGTCCATCTGCATGCTCCCCCTAGAAGTTTGAGCAGTGGGGCACCAAAGAAGCGAGTCACACCCCTATCACATGCCCTGTGAGGGGGACAAAGAACTTCTCCTGTTTCACCAGGGGTTGGCAAACGTTTTCTGTAAAGTGCCAGATTTTTAGGTCTGCAAACCATAGAGTCTCTGTTGTAAATACTCAACTCTGTTGTTGTAGTCTAAAAGCAGCCATTTGTAAACAAGTGAACATGGCTGTGTTCCAATAAAACTTTACAAGCACAGGTGGTGAGCCAGATTTGCCTCATGGGTCATAATTTGCCAATACATGCCCTACACTAATACAAAAAGGGAAAAACAGGACATTGCAGAGACTTGTTGGAGGAAGCCATCTTAAGACTATGTGACATATGCAACTAAAGCAAATTTACTCACACAACAGCTGGCAATATGACATAAGGGTTAGAGCACAAGTTTTATGTAAGACGGTCCTGAGTTTGAGTCTGACTTTGCCCCCACACTGGTCAGTTAAGCTGGGTCAAATTACTCAACCTATTTTAGTCCCTGTCTCCTCTCACATTAACTGGAGATAATAGTAAGATCTAACTCAATAACCTTGTAAGAATTAAACAAAATAATTATTGTACTTAGCACAGACTTGACACATAAACACTCAGTAAATATTCACTTCAATTATTTCAGCATATTCCCAATCATCAACAGACCTGCAAAGTGAGTCTCCTCTCCTGCATGTCATAGATGAGAACACAAAGTCTCCGTAGGATTAAGGGCGGTGCCCATGGCCACACAGCTGGGAAGGGGCGGAGCTAGATTGGGAGCTGACTTCTCCAAGAGTCTAACACTCATTTTTCCATCCCACTGTGGAAGGAAGAAAATACCCAAAGACGGCCGGGTGCGGTGGCTCACGCCTGTAATCCCAGCACTTTTGGAGGCTGAGGCAGGCGGATCACGAGGTCAGGAGATTGAGACCATCCTGGCTAACACGGTGAAACCCCATCTCTATTAAAAAATACAAAAAATTAGCCAGGTGTGGTGGCAGGCACCTGTAGTCCCAGCTACGCAGGAGGCTGAGGCAGGAGACTAGTGTAAACCCGGGAGGCAGAGATTGCAGTGAGCCGAAACTGCACCACTACACTGCAGCCTGGGCAACAGAGTGAGACTCTGTCTCAAAAAACAAAAAAAAAGAAAAAAGAAAAAGAAAAAAAAGAAAATACTCAAAGCCCAGACATGTGGACAACAGAAAGCAAGAGCAGAAAGACATGACATTCAGCTCCAAAGCATGCGAACAGATCTGTCATGGTGTTCTCTGCAGAGTCACAGAGGATCACTATCCAGAGCTCTAACCTGGGTCAGGAACCAGGCCTGTCATGACAGTTTTCTGGAGGCCACACTCTTGATTAAAAATATTGCCTTGGTGTGAAAAGCCACCTCCTCTGATAGATTTGCACAGCTCCAGAAGCCTGTGGGGGCAGAAGCAGGGAGCCGATTATCTTCCCATTGCTCTGGACCATGGAGGAAAAGGGCAATGGCATTCTTTTCTGCCTGGAAGGGGAGACAGCAAAGCCACTCTGATGCTCAAATGTTTCAGGGGCTCAGTTATCCAGTGCTCTTGCCCAAAGCAGACTGGATAGAACATTCCAGCAGAAAAAAATAAATGGACTTTGAAAAATCACTGCTTCAGTTGATTCCTGGCACAGGTGCCTCCTTCTTCATGCCTTTGGGGTGTATGTTGGGGTGGCTATTAAAACAAAAGGCCAGAAGCTGGAAATCCAGGTATCAGTGGGGTCTTTCTCTTTCTCTGGGGAGAATCTGTTCCTTGCCCTCACCAAGTTTTGGTGGCTGCCCTGGCATCGTTGGGCTTGTGGCCACATCACACCAACCTCTGTCTCTATCTTCACATTGCCTCTCCCCGATGTGTCTCTCTCTTGTAAGGATGGGTGTCAGTGGATTTAGAGTCCACCCAAATAAGTATGATATTCCCATCACAAGATTCTTAATTATATCTTTGAAAAAAAAAAACCCTTAGTTACACCTTTTTCCAAATAAAATCCCATTCACAGTTTCCAGGGACTAGGACAGAGACATATCTTTTAGCAGGCAGGGGCATTATTCAATCCACTGCAGGATGTCTCATGGTCTGATTCAGAATCAAGGTGATGTTTCTTGATTCCAGAGAATCCCTGAATGTCAGAGAAAGTATCTAATGCCTGCCTTTCTCTCTCTCGACTGCTCCTTCATTTTTCCTATGAGAAATTAAATAATCTGCCCCAAATTACTCTACTTGGAACAGCAAATCTGGGCTGAGAATCTGGCCCTCCCCCTCTAGTTCTTTCTCCTTGTATTTTTCCACTGCTCTCCCTGGTGAAATAAACACACCTCCAATTCTCTGCCTCGCCTGTCTCTGCCTAGTCTGATTAGGTCAACCCCAGCAAGCTCAATGTGATTGTACTTTTATAAAATGCACCATGCTGTCATGCTGGATGAATGTCATCTTTTCCCTAGAACTTGCGTTGTAACGGACTTCAACTCAGTTTTGTATGTAGCTTCTAGGAAACAGAATCTTGGTTGACATCACTGATTCTTCCTCCTCTGTTCTCTCTGCTCAGATGCTAACTTATGGGCATCTCAGTGGACACAGGAAAAAGGTTGGCTTGAATCTAGGCATAGTGACTGAGGAGTTTACAGAAAATCAGTTGTATGCATATTGTGTTACCAACACCATGGGAAGACTTATTTATGGAAAAATAAATGATCAGTCACTAAATATTAAGTGCCTATCATGCCAGACCATATAAGTGGAGCTGATAGTTTAAAAGAGTTTACTTAATATTTTTTTGTTCATCTACTGAGCTACAATGGGAATTTCATCTGGCAATGGCTAAAATCATATCACTAATACATGATTTCATCAGAAGATGGGGCTGTGTGAATAGCAGGAATTAGTATGTGCACTCAGCTCTGAGAGGTGGGGAGCAGACTTTGTTTCCGTAGAAGCAGGAGTGTGTCTCTCCAAAACCCATCGCCTGAGGGCACTACAGAGAGTATGGCCTCAGGGGACTCAGCTGCCAGAACACTGTGAAGCCTAGAGACATCACTCTTGAAAGAGCCTCACTTTTCCCCTGTCATTGAGGTAAATAATTTTTAGCTGACTGATGTCACCCAGAAATTCCCATTGCCTGTAAGCCATAAAATAGTTAATTAAGCAACACACTTAATGGAGAATTTGCGTGTGTCACAGTGTGTTCTCTTAATTAACATTTTAATATGTTTGTGGTAAGAGGGCTTGAGGTCATCTAAAGAAAGAAAATTAAATGCATTCTAAGGAATTAATATGGTGCCAGGTATGTGGAAACTCCTAATCAATAGCAGCCATTATTGTTTATTTATTTATTTATTTTTATTTTACTTTAAGTTCTGGGATACATGTGCAGAACATGTAGGTTACATAGCTATACATGTGCCATGATGGTTTGCTGTACCTATCAACCCATCATCTAGGTTTCAAGCCCTGCGTGCATTAGGTATTTGTCCTAATGCTCTCCCTCTCCTTGTCCCCCACTCCCTGACAGGTCCCAGTGTATGATGTTCCCCTCCCTGTGTCCATGTGTTCTCACTGTTCAACTCCCACTTATGAGTGAGAATATGCGGTGTTTGGTTTTCTGTTCCTGTGTGAGTTCGCTGAGAATGATGGCTCCCAGCTTTATCCATGTCCCTGAAAATGACATGAACTCATTTTTTATGGCTGTATGTATTCCATGGTGTATATGTGCCACATTTTATTTAGTCTATCATTGATGTGCATTGGGTTGGTTCCAAGTCTTTGCTATTGTAAATAGTGCTGCAATAAACATACATGTGCATGTATCTTTATAGTGGAATGATTTATAATCCTTTGGGCATAAACCCAATAATGGGATTTGCTGGGTCAAATGGTATTTCTAGTTCTAGATCCTTGAGAAATCACCACACTGTCTTCCACAATCATTGAACTAATTTACACTCCTACCAAGAGTGTAACCATTATTGTTAAGAGGACTCTGTGTGCAGTACTGTTCAATGAAACTGCATGGTAGAATTCACAGAAGGCTGCACATACAGAGAGGGGCATGACGCGTATGGCGTGTCTGATTCCCCATCTCAACTTCACATATGTCTTGAGAGGGAATGCAGAGCTTCCCTCAGCCCTGCATCTCCAGATCCTGGCTCTCTGCCTGGAAAATAGCAGGCCCACAGTGAGTGATTGCCTGGTGCTGCATAAACTGCCAGGGTTCCCCAGTGGTGCAGAATGAGACCCCTGGCTGACACATCAGGGGATCAGGTTCTAACTTATCATGGGATGTTGGGAAAGATGGAGCTCTTGCCCAGGCTTCAGAGTTTCCATCTTAGAAAGTGGGGTTTGGAACCCATTCATTTCTGTAGTTCATGCCAGTCTACATAAATGTCAATGATTCTGTGACTCTTTGTTCAAAGTCATAAATCTTGTTAAGTTGCATTGGAGTTGGAGTCATCATGGTAGATTTGTGAGGCTACTGAAAGATCATGAGCCTCTGCCCTAAATTGTTTTCCAATCTGATGACGGAAATAGGGCTTACCCAACATGAAAAAAGTAATAAAGAGTAATTAAAGACTCATAATAATGCATTGCTTTATGGCTAGAGACAATTCTAAACAAGACATCATTTTTCACAGAACAAATGGTCTTGATCAGGGGTCAGCAAATGACTCTGCAGAAGCTAAAATTTAGTCCCTCTGTATTATATAAATACGGTTTTATTGGAACACAGCCATCTCATTGTTGAGTATTGTCTATGGCTATTCTCATACTACTGTGGCAGAGCTAGGTAGTTGCAAAATAAACCACTTATTTCACAAAACCTAAAACACTTACTACCTGACCCTTTTCAAAGTGTACTGGCCCCTCATCTATTTGAAAAAATATGTACCTTCAAAGGAGGCTATATCTTGGTTACTGCAGTGATCTGGGAAAGCTCCCTGGAAAAAAGGGTCTGAAGAGCTCTAAGAAGTGGACAGGTAATGGAGAGGCAAACAAAGAAAGGAAAATCCCATACTCATAGAATCCTAGACTTACAGGAATCTTCCAGGCACCTGTGCATCCATGCAGTTTGCCTTCAGGATTGAATCTTCACTGGATCACACCTGAACAGATAACTGTTCAGACAAGCCCCGCAGAACTCTCGAAAAGAGGGCAGACACCCCATGCAATATGCCATCAGCATCACAGTGTTTCACCCAGAGTTGAAGAGACAGGATAGCAAAAGAGCCCTCCCACTAAGAGATAGAAATCTACTTCCCTGTAGGTTTTTGAGAAAAATAAAATAGTTTCTTCCCAAGTCATCTCTATACCAAACTGAATTCCCACAGAACAGTTCCCATATACAGTTCTCAGGCCCTCTCCCATCATCACCAGCCTACTTCAGGCACACTCCCGTTTGTGAATTTTCATCTCCAGGATGACACCAGAAGAGAGCCTTGTGGCTCCGGGGATTTTAGTCTTCAGTGGATCACTACCTCCCTGTGTCTCTTTCCAGCTGCTTCCCTCCAGTGCACTGTGTTTGAAAGAGCTGTGGTTTGGGCATTATATAGACTTTTATATAAATCTTGGCTCCCCTTTTTCTATCTCTCTGAGTCTCAATTCCCTCATTGTTTAAATATAGCCTACAGGATTGCTGTGAAGACTGGAGATAATGGTCATAAAGAGCCCAGGACATGGTAAATGCTCAAGAAGTAATAGTTATCTTTATCGTTCTAGGTAGCCACCTCTATTAATGAAGTCTGATCTCGCAGGAAATCAGTCTGCAAAGCAGCTTCACTCTGCCAAAATTCTCCCCGTGTCTGTTCCCATAAAAAAATTGACAATCTCTGTTTCTGGGAAAAGTGGGGTCCTAATTTGCCCCAACTGAGGTCTATGTCCAATTACAAACTGTCCTTCCAAGTTGCATGGCTCTCTCTGTGCTCATTCTGCTCTGGCTCCTATGAGCAGCTCTGTCTGCTCACACCCATTCCTCTGATCCTGGTATTTTTCCCTTGACCTGCCACCTCTCTGACTCCTCTGAGAAGCACAATAGGCTCTGCCTGGTGTGAACTTCTAGGTATTATTCTTCTCCCTCACAAAGCTGGACCGTTAACTTGACAATGTTCCCTAGCCCAGGCAATGCGGGGGCTTTCCAATGCTGGGACCAATCCTACCACCATTTGTATGCTCCTTCTATCCTTGGTAGCTCTGCAAAACAAACTTTCCCTTTTCTCACAAGGAATTTTTCCAAATATTGAACACAGAGATACAGATTGTAAATGTGAGTCCAGTAGCTGGACCAGTGTAAAAAGCCAAGGATGGATGTGAACTTAGAGAAGAACTCCAGAAATGTCTGCGATATGGTTTGGCTCTGTGTCCCCACCCAAATCTCATGTTGAATTATAATTCCCCAGTGTTAGAGGTGGGGCCTGGTGGGAGATAATTGGATCATGGGGGTGGTTTCTGGTGATTTAGGACCATCCCCCTGCTGCTGTCATATGATTGAGTTCTCACGAAATCTGGTTGTTTCAAAGTGTGTAGCGCCTTCCCCTTTGCTGTCTCTTCCCCTCGCTCTAGTCATGTGAAGATGTGCTTTGGTTCCCTTTTGGCTTCTGCCTTGATTGTAAGTTTCCTGAGGCCTCCCCAACCATGATTCCTTATAGCCTGTGAAACTGTGAATCAATTAAACCTCTTTTCTTTTTAAATTATCCAGTCTCGGGTATGTCTTTATAGCAATGTGAGAATGGACTAATACAGTCTGTGAAATGCTCAGTGTGGTTGGCAGAATAATGCCCCCACCAAAGATGCCCATGCCCCAGTCCCTGGAACCTGTGACTCTGTCACCTTACATGGCAAAAGGGACTTTACAGATGGGATTACAGGATTGTTTTGGATTATATGGGTGAGCCAAGGCAGTCACAGCACCCTTAAAAGTGGAAAAAGAATGCAGAAGAGAAGTCAGAGTGATGCAATCTGGGAGGAATTTGACCCTTCATTAGTGGCTTTGAGGAAGAAAGAGGGGGCCAGCCAAGGAATGTGGGCAGCCTCTAAAGCTGGAAAAGGCAAGGAAACAGATTCTGTCCCCCAGCCTCCAGAAGGAAATAATGATACTGACACTTTGATTTTAGCTCCCTGAGGCATGGGTCAGACCTTCTACACTACAGAACTTTAATATGAGAAGTTTGTATTGTTTAAAACCACTAAATTTGTGGTGATTTGTTATGGCAGCAGCGGAAAACTAATATACTCAAGAAAAACAGACAGGAAAGTGAGAAGACTAGCAGAGAAGATTGTCAAGAAAATCCAAGAAGGTAGAGTTTCAAGAAGTAGGAGGTGGCAAGAATGACAAGGAGGTTGAAGGAGATAAGAACTGGAAAGAAAAAAAATCTGGATCCTCTTCTCCCTGCATGCTAACCATATCTTCTATTTCCAGCTCCACCTCCCAAAACAATATCCTACAGCCACCGGGGTGATATTTCTAAAATAGAGATAAAAACACATCATTCTCCAGCTTAAAATTCTCTACTAACTCCCACAACCTTCATTATAAAGTCCCAAATTGCTTGAAGACATAATCTACCCACAGATAACCTTCCAAGTCTATGCCCTGCCACTTTCTCCATGTTCCAAAACATGCTCACCTTTCCAAACCTACTAACTCTCCAACGCTACATTCCGCAAATATGGCACTCACAGCACTTGCACCCCCGCCAAACACTGCACACACTATTCCATTCCCCAGGCCTGCCCTTGGCAGGTTTTCAATCTTAGCTGCAATCTTCAAGACCTAGCTCAAGTCTCCCTTGAGATGCTTTCTCTCATAAACTCCCAGCCTCAGTCCCGGGCTTCACCATGAGCTTTGACAGCTTATATATGCCTCCATCATACAGTGCTGTGCTCTTTAGGGCAGAGCCTGTATCTTCATCATGCAATTCTCAGCATATGGTGTCTCAACTCCCCTCCTTGGATATGTAGGAGGTCTCAGATCTGACCTAAGAGCCAAAGCTAAGAAAACAGAACTGGCGACAGGGTGCGGTGGCTCACACCTGTAGTCCCAGAACTTTGAGAGGCTGAGGCAGGCGGATCATGAGGTCAGGAGATTGAGACCACCTGCCTAACACAGTGAAACCCCATCTCTACTAAAAGTACAAAAAATTAGCCGAGCGTGGTGGCACATGTCTGTAATCCCAGCTACTCAGGAGGCTGAGGCAGGAGAATCGCTTGAACCTGGAGGGCGGAGGTTGCAGTGGGCCAAGATCATGCCACTGCACTCCAGCCTGGACAACAAGGCGAGACTCTGTCTCACAAAAAAAGAAAAAAGAAAACAGAACTCGCTTTTGGCTCTCCAATGCTGCATTCCGCAAATATGGCACTCACAGCACTTGCACCCCCCCATACACTGCACACACTATTCCATTCCCCAGGCCTGCCCTTGGCAGGTTTTCAATCTTAGCTGCAATCTTCAAGACCTAGCTCAAGTCTCCCTTGAGATGCTTTCTCTCATAAACTCCCAGCCTCAGTCCCGGGCTTTGCTATGAGCTTTGACAGCTTGTATATGCCTCCATCATACAGTGCTGTGCTCTTTAGGGCAGAGCCTGTATCTTCATCATGCAATTCTCAGCATATGGTGTCTCAACTCCCCTCCTTGGATATGTAGGAACACAGCATTAGGCAAGAACACAGCATTAGGCAAGTTCTAGACTGTGCAGTGGTATCTTAGGCAATGATGGAAATGTACTATATTTATGCTGTCCGTTAGCCACAGGTAGCAATAAAGCACTTGAATATGGCTAGTGTAACTGAGGAACTGAACTTTTCATTGTATTTCATTTTAATTCATTTAAATTTGTGTTCAAATAGTTACAAGTGGTTAGTAGCTACCTGATTGGATAGTGCAGCTAGTGGAAAGGCAAGATAAATAGGAATATAAGCAAGGCATCAAATCTAAAGGGAGGACGGGTTAACAATTATGAAACCACTGTCTATTCATACTGGAATTGAACAATTTAATAAATGGGTGGTAAATGGTGGAAGCCAAGATTTTTTATTGTTGGAGAGAAAGGTTACAGACAAGCAAGGGGAGAAGGCTAGAATGATTCATCTGGTACCAGATCAGTGTCCTACACATGAGTATTTTAGCTTAATATAAGGTGACATAAAGACACAGTTAATGATATGCATATATACACTGGTTAGTACATACGTATATATTTCCTTGCTCTGTCAGCTGCAAGGGCCTAGAACCAACAAGCACATATCACACCTCCATCTTGGTCTCTAAAACCATTCTACCATAAAAGGAACCAGGGCTTTCTAGAGAAGTGATTGACTGTAGGACTGGGGTAAGAAATACGTAAATATGTAAGATGAGACTGGAGCATCTTGCCGTACCAGGAAGCAAAGAAGTGAAGAAACACACACAATGATGAAGTAGACCAAGGGGACACAGGAGCCAATTAAAAAAAAAGAAAGAAAGAAAGAAAGAAAGAAAGAAAGAAAGAAAGAAAGAAAGAAAGAAAGAAAGAAGAGCCCCAAGTGACCAAAGCTGAGATGATTTGAGCAAAAAAGTAATAACATGAATTGGATTACAACCCAGAGTATAAAAAAAACCATGAGTCCATAGTAATATGAATAAGTGACTGAATAAAAATGAGGTTGGTGCAAAAGTAATTGCAATTATAAATGGCAAAAAGGGCAATTACTTTTGCACCAACCTAATAAATAAATGAAGGAGAATAGACAAGTCTCTTGCACAGAGGATTCCACATCTTTCATAATCAATGCAGATGCTGCATCTTTAAGGAGTTACAGCATAATTCCCATTCTTTATGTGCAGACTATGCGTAGTGACATTTTGCCAAAGAGTGCAGTATGAAAAGATAGAAAAATGAGTGCTTTGCAGCTGGAAAACCTGATAAAAGCTGCCTTATGTCACATCAAAGTAAACATCAACAGTGACAGGACATGTTGATAGCATGTACTCCTGATAGGATGTGATAAGAAATGTTCTTTACCTTTGTGGTCTTCCTCCAAAAAACCCATAACCCTAACCTAATTAAGAGAAAAACATCAGACAAATCCCAACTGAGGGAGAGTCTACAAAATACCTGACTAACATTCTTCAAAACTGTCAAGGTCACCAAAAACAAAGAAAAATCTTAGAAATTTTGACAGCCAAGAGGAATCTAAGGAGACAGGATGCCTCAGAGCAATATGAAATCATAGATGGAATCCTAGAACAGAGAAAGGACATTAACTAGAAACTAAGGAAATCGGACTACATGTGGACATCAGTGAATAATAATGTATCAGTATTGGTTCATTAAGTGTGACAAATGTACCACAGTAATGTAAGATGTTAATGATAGAGGAAACTGAGCATGGAATATATCTTTACAATTACTCTGTAAATCTAAACTACACTGAAATTAACTTTATCTAAAAAAAATCCAAAGGGATCAGGGAAAAGACAAAAAGGATGTGATTTTTTTTCTGAGTCTCCTGGTCATAGCACCCCATATTTCTTGAGGACTCCTCACTTCCCCTAATCTTAGTCCATGTGATTTGGATAAAGCTTTTCCCTACATCCTTATTCCAATGGAGGGGTAGCATATGATCCAGGATCAGCCAACCAGTGATATGGTTTGGACCTGTGTTCCTGCCCAAATCTCATGTCAAATTGTAATCCCCAATATTGGAGGTGGGGCCTGGTGGGAGGCGACTGAATCGTGGGGGTAGATTCCCCCAGTTGGGACTGTTCTGGTGATAGTGAGTGAGTTCTCGTGAGATCTGGTAGTTTAAAAGTGTGTGTCACCTCCCCCACCTCTCTCTTCTTTCTGCTCTGGTTACGTGAAGACAGCCTGCTCCTGCTTTGCCTTCTGCCATGAGTCAAAACTCCCTGAGGCCTCCCCAGAAGCAGATGCTGTCATGTTTCCTAAACAGCCTGTAGAACTGTGAGCCAGTTAAAACTCCTTTTTTTATAAATTACCCAGTCACAGGTATTTCTTTATAGCCATGCAAGAACTGACTAATACACAAAGCATTTCATCTCCATGGCCACTGTGATAGGCTCAGGAGTGGGCACTTGCCCCAACCCAGGCCCATGAAACCCATCTCCAGTTTGTTTGTTGGAGCAGTTGAAGAAGACAGACTCACCCACCCCATGCCCCACCAGGATCACTCAGGGGATGGAAGCTGGCAGCCATCCAATTACCACAAGCCAACATCTTGCCTGAGAATGGTGCCACAATAAAGGAAAACAGTCAAGAGAGAAGGAAAAAACCAGAGTTCCAATGACAGCCTTTCATCTCCTAATGTTCACAGTGAGTGGATTTGGCAGTTTGATGAGCTACTATAGTCCCTTTTGCTTAAACAAGTTTGAGTTGGGGTTTCTGTCAATTGCAACCACAAAAGTCTTGACCAAAACAGTTGGTCTGAGCATCATGGTCTGGGGCCAGAATCTTTAAGAGGGACATTAGAGGTCGCCTTTCTTCTTAGCCTCCACGTTTCCATGCAGAAACTTCTAGTGAACTGGGATTTAAGTAACTCTTCTACCCCTCTCCGGGTGCACTGATGACTATCTGATAGGTGACATCAGTAAAAATAAATAAGTATATATGGATCTGTCCCATTGGGGTCCCCCTCTTTAACCTACCTGCCTGCAAAACTGGATATGTTCTACTGCACTGCAGCCAGCATGGGGCATGAGCAAACACCTGCATTCTAGTGGCAGTTCTCAAAGCTCATTTTCTTTTGGTCTCACTCTTCAGCCTTGGTAGGCTTAAGGCAGCTATTCTGGGTAAGATTGACAGCTTCACAGACCCCAACTTTCCCTTGAATGCATCATCCTGAAGTCTCAACTCAGGGGTAAAAACTAGAATGCCTGAAGGTTGCTGCAGATCCAAGACACGGTCTCCAATTTACCATTATCCATAATGAAAGTGGTATTTTGCCCATTAGTTGTCTGACATCTATTTCTCATCCTGTTCTGAACTCAGTCTGAAAGAAGAGCATAATTAATTTCCACCTCTCAAATCTCGGCAAAAGAATGAGGATGAGGGATAGGGTATGGAGAACAATACACAGAGATGTGGAAGGATTTCGACAATGGAAGTCATTTTATGGTCCTTATATAACTCTTCTCCTGTGTGTGTGGACAGAAAAATGCTAAGGGTAGTCTTTTAAAAACTGTAAGAGGGGTCAATAACTAGCTTGACAAGAATAAATTCCTCTTGTCATTATGAGTAGCATGTATACGGCAAGCAGAAAATTTCTTTATATCTTTTCTATTGTCCTGAATGATAACTAAATTGAAATATAAGGTATATTTGCACACCTTAAGTAAGTTATAGAGGAAATTTGTCTTCCCCTCCAGGGATTCCTCTGGCCACGGGTCTTGAAAGGGCATCCTCTCAAGATTCTATGTCTGGTTAATCCCTTTATCCCTCTGTTCAGTGGGGACAGTAACTTCTCCCATTTTTATGAGAGATTAACTGTGAAAGTGACTTGGTTAATGCTTCCAAAGTGCTGGGCAAGTACCAAGAATTGCAATAAGGGAAGCTGGAAAGCAGAAGTGAAGTCTGAGAAAACTCACATTCCTTTTACATAAATAACTTGTGCCATTATCTTGGTTTCTCAAGTCAGAATTTCTTCTGTAAATAATTCACAGTAATAGGCAGTGAGCTTGCTGTGAAGGGAAGTGGTTAATTATTTACAATACTGATGGAATGTGAAACCTAACACAATCTGGATGGAAAATGGGGAATGTGTTAGGGATAAAGGAGACCAGGCTCTGTCAGAGGAGAAGATGGCAGTGAAAAAATTTAATAATATTAGTGTCTTTCTTATAGAGCTAAATCCTACTGGGCTCAGACTCTGGGGCAGTGTAACAGTGAAAGAGCAGGGTTCAAACAGCTAAAAATACATTGACTCTTGAACAACACAGGTTTGAACTGTGTAGGTCCATTGATATGCAGATTTTCTTCCACATCTGCCACCTCTGAGACAGCAAGACAAACTCCTCCTCATCCACTCTGCTTACTCAGTGTGAGGACGACAAGGATGAAGACCTATAGGATGATGTACTTCCTCTTAATGAATAGTTTTCTCATTATTTTCTCTAACAACATTTTTTCTCTTACTTTATTGTAAGAATACAGTATAAAATACATATGACATACAAAATATGTGTCACTCGACTATTTATGTTATCAGCAAGGCTTCCAGTCAACAGTAGGCTGTTAGCAGTTAAGTTTTGGTGAAAACAAAACATATACATGTAGATTTCTGACTGCACAGGGGGTTGACACACCTAATCCTAACATTGTTCAGGGGTCAATTGTAATTTCAAGTAGCACTCGCTTGTATGTCTTGAACCCCATGCAAGAAACATATAACTTAAATACACACATTGGAGGTCTCTTCCACTGAGTGATATGGGGAGAAGATAAAGAGTTAACTGGACCAAATTAGCATTCCTTTCAATAACCAGAAAGGGGTAGAAAATCTGAGAACACTCAAGCACTAATAACTTTTATCATTTCACAACGTAATAACTTAAAACTATGGTACTCTTGCCTTGATTCTACCTGTCCTGTATACACTGAATGTATAATTTCATTCTTACAATGACCTCATTTTCCAGGTACCATCAACCATCCTTATGTTGTAGATGAGGAAACTGCACTTCAGAGAAGTGCAATAATTTGGCTGTGGTCACACAGCTAGAAAGTGGAGACACAGGTCTGTCTTTACCTTTGTGTTTTTTTCACCAAGCCTGATGAAAATACACCACCAGTCCCACAAGAGTTTCCAGCAGTTCAAGTATGTCCAAAGCGTTAACCCTTCTTTCTTTTTGACCACAAAGAGATGCAGACTTAGTGTTGCAGAAGGGGAACAGCATTAGCTCCAGGTTGTGACCGACCGGGGCTAGACTCCTTGCACCCTTGTTTAATATCTGTATTAATTCATTCTCACATTGCTATAAAGAACTACCTGAGATGGGGTAATTTATAAAGGAAAGAGGTTTCATTGGCTCACAGCTCTGCAGGCTGTACAGAAAGCATGGCTGGAGAAGCTTCAAAAAACTTACAATTGTGATGGAAGGCAAAGACGAAGGAGTCACGTCCTACATGGCTGGAGCAGGAGAAAGAGACGGGGGAGGTGCTACACAGTGTCAAACAACCAGATCTCATGGGAATTCACTCACTATCATGAAAATAGGAAGGGAGAAATCTGCCACCATGATTAAATTGAACATGATATTTGGGTGGGGACACAAATCCAAACCATATTAATAGCTGTGTAACACAGGCCAAGTTGTTTAACCCCATTCAGCCTGTTTTCCCTATTGATTCATTGCACAAATACTTACTGAGCAACTGTCATCTGCTGAGCAACTGAGGTAAAGAAAACAAACACAAGTGTGCCTGCCCTCAAGGAGCTTACATTCTAGTGCATATAATGAATAGACAGTGGAGGTGGGGAGTAAGACTGCTATAGGCAAAATAAATCAGAAAATGATACAAACTAAAAAGAAAGGAGAAAGAGCTGAGGGAGTATGTACCACAGGGATCCAGTTTTAAATGCAGTCATCAAAAAAGTATCATGAAGATGTGAACATTTGAACACAGACTGAAGGAGTCAGGAGCCAACCATGTGGAGATCTTGGGGAGGATTCCAGGCAGAGGGAAGAGCAGGCACAAAGACCCTGAGATGAAGACATGCAAGATGATAAGAGGTTACCTGGTATGTTTGAGGAGCATCAGTGAGGCCAGAAAGGCTGGAGCAAAGAGAGTGAGAGGGAGGAGGTGACAGGAGATGAGACCAGAAAGGTGATGTGGTGCAGGGGGCAAGTCCTACAGAACTTCCTTAGCAAAGGGAGCCATTCTTAATGTGTGAGATGGGGAGCCCCTGGAGGGTTTTTAGCAGAGAAGCAGCATGAGCAGTCTTAGGTTTTAAGACTTGTCTTGCGGTTCCAAGATGGCTGAATAGGAACAGCTCTAGTCTACAGCTCCCAGCATGAGTGACGCAGGAGACGGGTGATTTCTTCATTTCCAACTGAGGTACCAGGTTCATCTCACTGGGGCTTGTCAGACAGTGGGTGCAGTATAGTGGATGCAGTGCACTGAGCATGAGCCAAAGCAGAGTGAGGCATCGCCTCACCCGGGAAGTGTAAGGAGTCAGGGAATTCCCTTTCATAGCCAAGCAAAGCCATGACAGAAGGCACCTGGAAAATCGGGTCACTCCCACCCTAATACTGCGCTTTTCCAATGGCCTTAGCAAACGGTACGCCAGGAAATTATATCCTGCCCCTAGCTTGGAGGGTCCCACACCGAGGGAGCCTGACTCATTGCTAGCACAGCAGTCTGAGATCAAACTGCAAGGCAGCAGTGAGGCTGGGGGAGGGGCGCCAGCCATTGCTGAAGTTTGAGTAGGTAAACAAAGTGGCTGGGAAGCTCAAACTGGGTGGAGACCATCGCAGCACAAGGAGGCCTGCCTGCCTCTGTAGACTCCACCTCTGGGGTCAGGGCTTAGCGAAACAAAAGGCAGCAGAAACCTCTGCAGACTTAAATGTCCCCGTCTGACAGCTTTGAAGAAAGTAGTGGTTCTGCCAGCATGGAGTTTGCGATCTGAGAACGGACAGACAGCCTCCTCAAGTGGGTCGCTGACCCCCAAGTACCCTATCTAGGGGGCACCCCCCAGTAGGGGCAGACTGATAACTCACACGGCCAGGTACCCCTCTGAGACAAAACCTCCAGAGGAATGATCAGACAGCAACATTTGTTGTTCAGCAATATTCACTGTTCTGCAGCCTCCGCTGCTGATACCCAGGCAAACAGGCTCTGGAGTGGACCTCCAGCAAACTCCAACAAACCTGCAGCTGAGGATCCTGACTGTTAAAAGGAAAACTAACAAACAGAAAGGACATCAACACCAAAACACCATCTGTATGTCACCATCATCAAAGACCAAAGGTAGATAAAACCACAGAGATGGGGAAAAAAACGTAACAGGAAAACTGAAAATTCTAAAAATCAGAGCGCCTCTTCTCCTCCAAAGGAATGCAGCTTCTCAGCAGCAATGGAACAAAGCTCGACAGAGAATGACTTTGACGAGTTGAGAGAAAAGGCTTCAGACGATCAAACATCTCCGAGCTAAAGAGGAAGTTCGAACCCATCACAAAGAAGTTAAAAACCTTGAAAAAAGATTAGACAAATGGCTAACTAGAATAAGCAATGCAGAGAAGTCCTTAAAGGACCTGATGGAGCTGAAAACCATGGCACAAGAACTATGTGACGAATGCACAAGCCTCAGTAGCCGATTCAGTCAACTGGAAGAAAGGGTATCAGTGATTGAAGATCAAATGAATGAAATGAAGTGAGAAGAAAAGTTTAGAGAAAAAAGAATAAAAAGAAATCAACAAGGCCTCCAAGAAATATGGGACTATGTGAAAAGACCAAATCTACATCTGATTGGTGTACCTGAAAGTGATGGGGAGAATGGAACCAAGTTGGAAAACACTCTGCAGGATATTATCCAGGAGAACTTCCCAAACCTAGCAAGGCAGGCAAACATTCAAATTCAGGAAATACAGAGAATGCCACAAAGATACTCCTCCAGAAGAGCAACTCCAAGACACATAATTGTCAGATTCACCAAAGTTGAAATGAAGGAAAAAATGTTAAGGGCAGCCAGAGAGAAAGGTCGGGTTACCCACAAAGGGAAGTCCATCAGACTAACAGTTGATCTCTTGGCAGAAACTCTACAAGCCAGAAGAGAGTGGGGGCCTATATTCAACATTCTGAAAGAAAAGAATTTTCAACCCAGAATTTCATATCCAGCCAAACTAAGCTTCATAAGTGAAGGAGAAATAAAATACCTTACAGACAAGCAAATGCTGAGAGATTTTGTCAACACCAGGCCTGCCTTACAAGAGCTCCTGAAGGAAGCACTAAACATGGAAAGGAACAACTGCTACCAGCCACTACAAAAACATGCCAAATTGTAGACACCATCGATGCTAGGAAGAAACTGCATCAACCAACGAGCAAATTAACCAGCTAACATCATAATCACAGGATCAAATTCACACATAACAATATTAACCTTAAATGTAAATGGGCTAAATGCTCCAATTAAAAGACACAGACTGGGAAATTGGATAAAGAGTCAAGACCCATCAGTGTGCTGTATTCAGGAAACCCATCTCACATGCAGAGGCACACATAGGCTCAAAATAAATCAATGGAGGAAGATCTACCAAGCAAATGGAAAACAAAAAAAGGCAGGGGTTGCAATCCTAGTCTCTGATAAAACAAGACTTTAAACCAACAAAGATCAAAAGAGACAAAGAAGGCCATTACATAATGGTAAAGGGATCAATTTAACAAGAAGAGCTAACTATCCTAAATATATATATGCACCCAATACAGGAGCACCCAGATTCATAAAGCAAGTCCTTAGAGACCTACAAAGAGACTTAGACTCCCACACAATAATAATGGGAGACTTTAACACCCCACTGTCAACATTAGACAGATCAATGAGACAGAAAGTTAACAAGGATATTCAGGAATTGAACTCAGCTCTGCACCACATGGACCTAATAGACATCTACAGAACTCTCCACCCAAAATCAACAGAATACACATTCTTCTCAGCTCCACAACGCACCTATTCCAAAATTGACCACATAGTTGGAAGTAAAGCACTCCTCAGCAAATGTAAAAGAACAGAAATTATAACAAACTGTCTCTCAGACCACAGTGCAATCAAACTAGAACTCAGGATTAAGAAACTCACTCAAAACCACTCAACTACATGGAAACTGAAAAACCTGCTCCTGAATGAATACTGGGTACATAATGAAATGAAGGCAGAAATAAAGATGTTCTTTGAAACCAATGAGAACAAAGACACAACATACCAGAATCTCTGGGATACATTTAAAGCAGTGTGTAGAGGGAAATTTATAGCATTAAATGCCCACGAAAGAAAGCAGGAAAGATCTAAAATTGACACCCTAACATCACAATTAAAGGAACTAGAGAAGCAAGAGCAAACACATTCAAAAGCTAGCAGAAGGCAAGAAATAACTAAGATCAGAGCAGAACTGAAGGAGATAGAGACACAAAAAACCCTTCAAAAAAATCAATGAATCCCGGAGCTGATTTTGAAAAGATCAACAAAATTGATAGACTGCTAGCAAGACTAATAAAGAAGAAAAGAGAGAAGAATCAAATACACACAATAAAAAATGATAAAGGGGATATCAGCACCGATCCCACAGAAATACAAACTACCATCAGAGAATACTATAAACATCTCTACACAAATAAACTAGAAAATCTACAAGAAATGGATAAATTCCTCGACACATACACCCTCCCAAGACTAAACCAGGAAGAAGTTGAATCTCTGAATAGACCAATAACAAGCTCTGAGTTTGAGGGAATAATTAATAGCTTACCAACCAAAAAAAGTCCAGGACCAGATGGATTCATAGCCGAATTCTACCAGAGGTACAAGGAGGAGCTGGTACCATTCCTTCTGAAACTATTCCAATCAATAGAAAAAGAGGGAATCCTCCCTAACTCATTTTATGAGGCCAGCATCATCCTGATACCAAAGCCTGGAAGAGACCCAACAAAAAAAGAGAATTTTAGACCAATATCCCTGATGAACATCGATGCAAAAATCCTCAATAAAATACTGGCAAATCGAATCCAGCAGCACACCAAAAAGCTTATCCACCATGATCAAGTGGGTTTCATCCCTGGGATGCAAGGCTGGTTCAACAGATGCATATCAATAAATGTAATCCAGCATATAAACAGAACCGACAACGAAAACCATATGATTATCTCAATAGATGCAGAAAAGGCCTTTGACAAAATTCAACAGCCCTTCATGCTAAAAACTCTCAAAAATTTAGGTATTGATGGGACGTATCTCAAAATAATGTGAGCTATTTATGACAAACCCATAGCCAATATCATACTGAATATGCAAAAACTGGAAGCATTCCCTTTGAAAACAGGCACAAGACAGGGATGCCCTCTCTCACCACTCCTATTCAACATACTGTTGGAAGTTCTGGCCAGGGCAATCAGGCAGGAGAAAGAAATACAGGGTATTCAATTAGGAAGAGAGGAAGTCAAATTGTCCCTGTTTACAGATGACATGATTGTATATCTAGAAAACCCCATCGTCTCAGCCCAAAATCTCCTTAAGCTGATAAGCAACTTCAGCAAAGTCTCAGGATACAAAATCAATGTACAAAAATCACAAGCATTCTTATACACCAATAGTAGACAAACAGAGACCCAAATCATGAGTAACTCCCATTCACAATTGCTTCAAAGAGAATAAAATACCTAGGAATCCAACTTGCAAGGGATGTGAAGGACCTCTTCAAGGAGAACTACAAACCACTGCTCAACGAAATAAAAGAGGACACAAACAAATGGAAGAACATCCCATGCTCATGGATAGGAAGAATCAATATCATGAAAATGGCCATACTGCCCAAGGTAATTTATAGATTCAATGCCATCCCCATCAAGCTACCAACGACTTTCTTCACAGAATTGGAAAAAACTACTCTAAAGTTCACATGGAACCAAAAAAGAGCCTGCATTGCCAAGTCAATCCTAAGCCAAAAGAACAAAGCTGGAGGCATCACGCTACCTGACTTCAAACTATACTACAAGGCTACAGTAACCAAAACAGCATGGTACTGGTACCAAAACAGAGATATAGACCAATGGAACAGAACAGAGCCCTCAGAAATAATACCACACATCTACAACTATCTGATCTTTGACAAACTTGACAAAAACAAGAAATGGGGAAAGGATTCCCTATTTAACAAATGGTGCTGGGAAAACCGGCTAGCCATATGTAGAAAGCTGAAACTGGATCCCTTCCTTACACCTTATACAAAAATTAATTCAAGATGGATTAAAGACTTAAATGTTAGACCTAAAACTATAAAAACCCTGGAAGAAAACCTAGGCAATACCATTCAGGACATAGGCATGGGCAAGGACTTCATGTCTAAAACACCAAAAGCAATGGCAACAAAAGCCAAAATTGACAAATGGGATCTAATTAAACTAAAGAGCTTCTGCACAGCAAAAGAAACTACCATCAGAGTGAACAGGCAACCTACAGAATGGGAGAAAATTTTTGCAATCTACTCATCTGACAAAGGGCTAATATCCAGAATCTACAAAGAACTCAAACAAATTTACAAGAAAAAAACAACCCCGTCAACAAGTGGGTGAAGGATATGAACAGATACTTTTTAAAAGAAGACACTTATGCAGCCAACAGACACATGAAAAAATGCTCATCATCACTGGCCATCAGAGAAATGCAAGTCAAAACCACAATGAGATACCATCTCACACCAGTTAGAATGGCAATCATTAAAATGTCAGGAAACAACAGTTGCTGGAGAGGATATGGAGAAATAGGAACACTTTTGCACTGTTTGTCGGACTGTAAACTAGTTCAACCATTGTGGAAGTCAGTGTGGCAATTCCTCAGGGATCTAGAACTAGAAATACCATTTGACCCAGCCATCCCATTACTGGGGATATAACCAAAGGAATATAAATCATGCTGATATAAAGACACATGCACATGTATGTTTATTGCGGCACTATTCAAAATAGCAAAGACTTGGAACCAACCCAAATGTCCAATGATAGACTGGATTAAGAAAATGTAGCATATATAGACCATGGAATACCATGCATCCATAAAAAAGGATGAGTTCATGTCCTTTGTAGGGACATGGATGAAGCTGGAAACCATCATTCTCAGCAAACTATCACAAGGACAAAAAACCAAACACCGCATGTTCTCACTCACAGGTGGGAATTTAACAATGAGAACACTTGGACACAGGAAGGGGAACATCACACACTGGGGCCTGTTGTGGGGTGGGGGAGGGGGGAGGGATAGCATTAGGAGATATACCTAATGCTAAATGACAAGTTAATGGGTGCAGCACACCAACACGGCACATGTATACATATGTAACAAACCTGCACGTTGTGCACTTGTACCCTAGAACTTAAAGTATAATATATATATATATGGACTTGTCTTGGTTGTTATGCAGTGAGTAGACCTTTGAGAGATGAGGGTTTGCCTTCCACCAGGCATAAGATGATAGTGTTCCATGTTGGTGGTAGCAGTGTAGGGTTAACACTACTGACAAAGGCCGGCTGGTGAAAATTAAATATGCAATGTCTGGAAAGCACCTGGCACACAGTAGGGTGTGGTGAATGACAACTATTATAATATAGATCCTTTTGCAGGGAAAAAGATATCATTTTCACACTTGTTCCAATCCCAATGATCTGTAGGCAGCCTTTATTATGTGAAAGACAGAAACTTCTAGAAAACTGGACATGTGTTATTCAGATTTTCTTTGCACAGCTTCACATGCACAGCTTACATGAGTAAGAAAAACAAAAATACACAAGACTCTCTTTCTAAAGAAAAATGTAAAATAACACGATATGAGCTTCCCCTTTTAGGGAGGGAGCTGGCTTTGATTGATTAATTGCTTTGCTATCTGGAATTGTCTTGCTAAGAATAACAAGTTTCAAATCAGATTGAATTTCTACTTCATGCTCGTCTTTCTAACTCCTTAAACTTCTCGACATCCAAGGAGGAGAACAGTAACAACCAGACAACCAAACAGTCCGTTTGGCCTTGGACTTTGTCTTTCTCTAAGAGAGAATTCACATTAGGACCCCTTTGCTTGGTAGTTTCAGGTTTTTGAAACATTGTTAGATAATTATTTAAGTCATAAACAGTGACAGTATGATTATAAATCTTATCAGCAGTACTAATCATGCTTTTTTCTATAGAAGCATTTTCTTCAGAGCCACAAAAAGCTCGTTTTACAGTATCCGCTTCTGGAGGAGAGTGATAGTTTTACTGATCTCCATTCTTACTGTACAGAATTGTTTAATAAAGTGATTTCTGTTTTCCTGAAATTAATCAAAATAATAAGTTCTTGGTTTTCTTGATTTTTGACACTGAGAACTTAATGAAGTTTGCCATTATAATATTATGGTTCTTGGATTTTTTTAATCAATTCCAAGACATATTACTCATTTATTCATTCAACAAATATTCATTGACCATCCGCCATGTGACACCCATTATGTTGGGTGCTGAATATACAAAGAAGAAGAAACAGCCCCTGTCCTCAAAATACTTCCAGCCTATTGGAGTGACAGTCAAGCCAAAAGGCAATTCAGCACAGCAAGATGATTTGTACCTTGGAGGACTGTGAAAAACACTGTGGGAAGGAGAGATCAGGAACTCTAAACCAGAGAGCTGAGGAAGTCTTCATGGAGAGGTAGCATTTGATGTGAAGCCTAAGAGATAAATGGGTATTTGCTAGGCAAAACTAGAGGCAGGGAACTGGCCTCCAGGAGAAGGAATAGATTACCTAAGAAGGAACAAGAATGGAATACGGGAGCCTGTCCTATGGAAAAAACTACAAATATTTTAGACAGGTGTAGTGAGGCCATATTTTCGGAATGCATATAAAATACAGAATAGACTCCAAGTCCTCAGAAGTCTGTTCTGATTCCAAGAATCTGATGATTATCCAATCACACAGGATAATGTGTGCCAGGTAGTAGGAGTTCAGAGATGAATAAGCCAGTGTCTTCCTTCCAGAGGTTTATGGTCTTGTCATCTAAGCTGGTATTCTAGCAGCATAAAACAAAGGATTTTTTCCTGTTTGATAAATCAGAGAGATATTGTTCTGCCCACATATCAGCTTGTCATTAGGCAATTGACTTACCCTTTGAGGGTCTCAGTTACTTCATCTATAAAATGTAGGCCAGTATACTTACTCCCAAGGGGCTTCTGATGAATGATAAAATACATGAAATTGTCCAACCTCATGTCCAATACATGGCAGATGCTCAACAAATATTAGTTACACATTTTATTTGTAAAATAAAGAATTCTATTTTTATTGAAAACCAAGGAGATAAAGTGGCATGTTCTAGCATTGGGGAAAAAGAGAGGTGAAGATAATTAATAATCCTGTTACCTCTTGCATTTTTTCCCACCCAGCCCAACTCACAGAAGGAAAGAACATGTGAGGGGGAAAGGTGGTCAACACTAGACCAGGATCCAGACAATGGGAGAGAGGAGAGGTCTATGTTTGCTCAACATATATCCCCAGCATCTAGTATAATTCCTGACTCAAAGCAGGCGCTCTGTAAATCTTTGTTGAATGTATTATCTGCAAATTGGAATCTGCATTAAGCAACTATATAAAGAAAGATGTGTAGTTCTGGAATTGAATAATGCACATATCCAGTGGCCAAAACCCACCAAGATGGTTGAAGGAACTAAGGATGTTTAAGCTTGGGAAAGAACCCACAGAGATGTGATTTCTGCCATCAAATATTTAAAGCATCATCTTGAGAACAACTGAATTGACTTGATCCATGGGGCTCCAGGAAAATGTGCTAAGAGCAACAGGAACAAGTTACATGGAGGTGAATTTCAGTTCAGTTCTCTTTTAGAGCAGTTTCTCCCATGCTGCTTCATTTGAGGGTGGCCTCAAATATGATTGCATTGTCTATCACTGGTATGTTCTAGTACAGTATCACATAATGGGCTCTTGCGTATCAAATGGACAAGTAGAAAGATAATCTTTAAGTTCTAGGTTTCTCTGGTGGATACTTGTGGTTTTAGTCTGGCACATGCCTCCTTTTCATGAACTTCCCTTCCTTCCTCCAGGTTGTTTTGGTGAGGTTGCCAATCACAAGGCTGCACTCCATGCCTCACACCTTCATCCCTCACACCTTCATCCCTATCCCTGGAGCAGTGGGCTTGACAGCAGCTAGGAAAATCAGCATCTCTTGATGAGGTGGAATTTGTCTTAAGCAAGGGCGCACAAAGTCAGAAAGTCCTTGCCGTTGGTAATCTGATGGCAGCCACTCTTGGAACCAGTTCAAGTGTTTCTAATGCTGAGGTGTCCTGGCGTCCCCTGGTTCCTGTCCTTTCTGCCGGCTGTTGGTTCAGCAAATACTTTAATATTATGAGTTACTCAATAGCCTTTGAATAAGCCCCTCCATTACTTAAACTAGTAGGCAAGTGAACACTTTCTTACAAAGGAAAAACTCTTGTAGAGGGGATTTATTAGTTCTATGACTAATTTTGCCATCCATAGCCTAAAATGGCCTCCTAGTCCCCTACCAAAGAGATACCACAGGGTAAAGGGGATCATCTGCATCCCCCAGCCATGTACTGTAGTGCCAACGTAGCAAAAAGCAAGAAGTAGAAAGGAGGCGCAGTTTCAGGAAGTACATTCTGTCTTTCTCTTTCTTTTTCCTTATGGTCTACATCTTCACATGATAAGTAGGGCAGTCTAATTAAGAAAGGTGCAGAAGGAAAGGAGGGAGTCTCAGAAGAACAGGAAAGAAGAAAGAAAATTGAGAGGTAGAGATGTATGTCTTCAAAGAGTAATGGTCCCACAAATGGCCTCTGCAACTGTTAAAACACAGCCTTAGTCAACTAATTACCAATTACAAGGCTATCAAACCATAAAAGTTAAACTTGCCCACCCTGGCTGCCTGTCTTTAAAAGCAGAAAAAAAAGGAGGCTGGTGCCAAAGCCCCTCAATCATGATGCTCAAAATAGAAGCTATTAATTTAGCAGAGATCATGTGGCAGCCTTTCAAATGGCCTTGGCTTGACCCCTGAGGCTCACTGGGAAGGGTTCTCTCTAAAAACCACCACATTTGCATGCCATTCCCTGATCCTAACCTTCCTTAAGGAAGTTCAAGTAGGAGAGTGGCATGGTAGAAGAAGCACTAGGGCTGGATCCCACAGGCCTGGGTTCAAGTTTGGGTCCTGCCACTGACCATCATAAGGTCGTAGTATAAATCTGCAGTTTGGGGGCTACTATTCAAAATTTACTCCCTTTCCTTTTCCCTACTGGCCTTCCTTTGTAGCAGAGCATATGGAGGGCATAGGGGAAATGTATGGGAGTGGTTCTTGCTGTCTCAATGATGGGGGCACTTTTAGGCAAGGACTTGGTGTGCTAGGTGCTCTACAGAGCTCACATTGGCTCCATCCACCAAGAATTGCCTGACAACTCTCACAACCTCCAAAGTTCCTGGCAGACAATCCTGCACAAGGAAAAAAGTTTATCATTAGCTGAAAACCTTTCTTGGTTTTACATGAAAACATAGTTATTTTTGCCCTATTTTTACACTGAACTATCCAGGAGTACAATTACCATGTAAATCAAGAGAATATTGTATAACATTAGTTTGTTCAGAACTTTCCAAGAGTTGATAGCTAATTCACAAAATATCCCCAATAGCAGGACTGCTGGCAGTGTTCACAAGGTGTTAGCAAAACAGTATCTCTGAATTGCAGTTCCCTCAAATTCATGGTGATTTTATGGCTCTAGTTTCTCATCTTCTGATATAGCTTCACCTGAGACATTATTTCCTTATTAAATACTAAATGCATTATGATTTTATTAAATATGGCTTTACTTTTATTTCTTTATTATAGTTAGGGAACATTTTAAAAAGTTTTTTTGGTGTGTTGAGGTAGGTATATTATCTATAAATTTCATTTAAAGAAAACATAATATCTGTAATATTTGTATCTTAAGCCCGGTTTCTCAGTAAACAAACTCTGAGATGGAAGTCTATACGCAGAAAGCATACTGGAGGGTGCCCCTGGGATCAACCGTGGGGGACCAAGGAGGTAGGATGGGTCTGAGGGAGAGGCTGAGCTGGAACAGTTACAACAGAGACAGCCCTTCCCACAGGGAGCTCTGGTCCTGGGATGATCATTGGATAAAGGACGCCCCTGGGGAAAGGACATAAACTTAAGTGAGGACATGAACTTCTGGTGAGGGCAATTTTTGAAGAGAAACTCAGCTGAGCTCTTTCAACATTCTTGGCAGCTGGCTAATTGATGGACTCAGTCTCGAAAAAGGCCCTGGGCAGCACACCACAGTATCCACTACAGTCCACCCTTGCTCTGGTCAGATACAGGTGCTTAGTAAAACAAGTTCTGGAAACAGCTTCTGCATGGTTCTGGTGGTTCTCTTTTCTGGAGAAACTTAAGAAATGTGTTAATATGCTCAGGCTGCTATAATAAAATATTACAGATTGGGTGGCTTAAATGACAGAAATTTGTTTCTTGCTTTTCTGGAGGGTGAGACCTCCAACATCAAGGTGCTGGCAAGGCAGGTTTTATTCTGAGGACTCTTCTCTTGGCTTTTGTGTGGCTATCATCTCATTGTGTGCTCACATTACCTTTTCTTTGTGTACAAATAGGCAGAAAGAGAGAGAGAGAGAGTGAGAGCACTCAAGAAAGCTCTCCGGTGTCTCTTCTTATGAGGATACTGATCTCATCAGACTAGGGCCTCTTATGACCTCATCTAACTCTAATTACCTCTCAAAGGCCCCATCTCCAAATATCATACATTGTGTTCAACATTTGAATTTTGGGGTGACAATAACATTCAATCTACAACATTAAATTGCTATTTATCATGGTTCTAGATAAGTTATAGAGATACAGTTGTAGATCTGTTGTTTAAAAGCATATATATTTTTTATATAGGTATACATGTATATGTATACTTATATAAGCGTGTGCGTGTGTGTCTATATGTGTGTGTGTATACAGAGAGAGAGAGAGACAGAAAATGAGAGATTTATTATAAAGAATTTGCTCACATAATCATGGTGGCTAAGAAGTCCCAAGATCTGCAATTGGCTGGAGACCCAAAGAAAGCCAATGTGTAGCCCCAGCCTGAAAGCCATCAAGCTCTAGTCCTAAGAAGAGCTGATGTTTCAGTCCAAGTCCAAAGGTAGGAAAAGGCCAATTTTCCTGGCTGAGCTCAGCCATCAGGCAGTCAGAGCTCCTTCTTAGTCTTTTTCTTCTACTCATGTCTTCAATTGATTGGGTGATGCCCATCTACATCAAGGAAGGCAATCAGCCTACCAATTCAGATGCTAGTCTTGTCCAGAAATGTCCTCACAGACACATACAGAATCATGTTTAACCAAATGTCTCAGCACTCCACGTCCTGGTCAAGTTGACACATACAATTAACCATCACAAGAAGGTTAGTGGGAGAAACTATAGAACCTACTGTTGAATCTGGAGCTTTTGCTGCAATTGACACTTATCATTTCCTTTATCTACTACTCATTGAAGACTGCCCTCACCTCTGGCCAGCCCCTCTTCTGGTCTAGTGGCCTGTGTCCTCAGGTCATGGCCGGTTCATTCATCCATTTGCCATCAAAATTGAACAAGGGAGTACAAACAGATGCCCCAGTGGATCACCTGCTACCAAGTATGTCCTTCTCTGCCTCCATGGTGAAAAAGTAGACCTACTTCCTGCTGATCAGCAAAGTATATTCTCACCAGGAAGGTGATGTCTTTACCTGTCGGTCAGCTTCCTGTCATGAGGAGCCTGAAATGACCAAGTGACAGCCAAAGTTTAAAATTTAACGGGACTCTTTCTCTGTGCCTTGGTGGAAATGCTCCTGCTCTTTGACAGAACCTCTAAACCCACATACCCCAAAGTTATGGGAATGGGAGACACAAAACCGCCAAGTAGGTAACTGGGTATGATGATAAATGGGGTCACTTCTACTTTCACCCTTTAGTTCTCAGACCCATGTCTTCAACTCCCTGGGGATGCAACACAATACAATGATCTATGGTTTAGGATATACAGTGCATGCTGAAGGATTATGTTCCATCTTTGTATATCATCTCCAAGCCATTTCATCAGTGGTTATTTGAAAACGCCATGTCAGCAACCTAACTGATGGGCAAATTTGGGGCAGTCTACCATGTCACATGGTCAGCGTATCCCATGGTCATGCTACCACTGCTACACTTCCATTGCCATAAAGCGGGTTGCTTACAGGAATCTCCTAAAAATAGGTAGAACACTCTGCAAGTTCTCAAATGGCAGTGCTAGCTGAGGTCATGCAGGCTGGAAAGGCAAATGTAGACAAGTGTAAATTCTGGTCAAAGTGAATCACAGCCTTTCACAGGTGAAAGGAGTCCAATGTAATCAACTGGCCAGAAAGTTGCTAGTTGATCTCCTCCAAAACTGGTGCCATATCAGGTAGTCAGCATTGACCTCTATTGCTGATAGAGTGAACATTCAGTCATGACAAGGGCTGGATCGACCTTGATATTAAAGTGGGAGCCTGTTTGTAGCCTCCATCCCAGCCATCATGGCTTCTCCATCACTGTGTTCACTGTGCCAATATTGAAAGGACAATGACCACCTGGCCAGTATCTCCTGGCCATGTCATTCTGTCTACCTGGTTGTGCCATGGCTCTTCAGTGGTAAATGCTAACACAAGACTGTTGTGGACTAACACAAGACTGGCAGGGTTTCACTAAAACAGTGTTCCCAGGAGTAAAGCATATTGCCTCCAGAAGCCAAAAAAAAAAAAAAAAAAAAAAAGCCTATCAGGCATTATGCTTGCTCCCTAATAGTGGGAAAGACAAAATGCAACAGTTTAACCTTTATTTTGAAGAGGTGTCCTTCACGCACCAGATCATTAAGTTCCTAAAGAGTTCCCTGATGTAGGAATGCCCTGAAACTTAGTTGGGGTAATCCCAACCTCTAGGGTGCATTTGTCTTGACATAGCCTCCAACATACATGCCACTTTTTGCTCATCTGTTCTGCTTAGAATCAAGATTTTTTCATATGGAGGATATGTGTGATATCCTGAAGACTTTCCCATTCCAGTCTTGGTGTCTCACTCTTTCTCAGTCAGGGCCTGACTTTGGTAAAACAGCCTTGCCTGGACTGAGAAGACATTCTTCCCTGGGGCTCTGTTTTTCTAATAATTAAGCCCTAGGCTCAATTCTCACCTTTATCTGCCCTCCTACTATAGAAACAAAAACAAAAACAAAACAGTAGCTTTATGTGCTACCAAGGAAACCCTCTGACTTTCATACTTCATGGTATATCGATGTTTGATCACCCTGACCCTAGTTAGAAGTAGAAATGGGATGTTGTGATGTCATTCTAAATCAAAGAATAAAATAAATATATGTTAAAGAAAAGGGACAGGTGTTGTGGCTTATGCCTGTAATCCCAACACTTTGGGAGGCTGAGGTAGGAGTATTGCTTGAGGTCAGGACTTTGAGACCAGCATGGGCAACATGGCAAGACGCCATCTCTACAAAAAACTTTTTTAAAAAAAAGAAAAGAAAAATAAATTAGCTGGGCATGGTGGTGCTTGCCTGTAGTCCCAGCTACTCAGGAGGCTGAGGTGGGAGGATCGCTTGAGCCCAGAAGTTTGAGGCTGCAGTGAGCTATATTCACACTGGAAGGAAGGAAGGAAGGAAGGAAGGAAGGAAGGAAGGAAGGAAGGAAGGAAGGAAGGAAGGAAGGAAGGGAGGGAGGGAGGGAGGGAGGGAGGGAAAGGAAAAGGATGAGTAAATCATTTATGTACCCCATCCGTATGCCATGCACATAATAAGCCTTATTTCATTTATTATTCACAAAAATCCTGTGAGGCCACCATTGTTATTCCTATTTTATGAAAAGGAATTGAGGCCAGAGAGGTCAAGCAAGAAGCCTAAGATCACACAGATTGGTAGAGCTGAGATCTGATATGGCCCACCTGAGTCCAAAGCTCACGCTCTTTTAACTATGTGACAGAACCTTCCAGATGGCTTCATCCTGAGCAAGCAATTTAGGAACAACTTCACAGACATACATTTGAATAGGCCTTGAAGGATGAATCAAACCGCAATAGAGAGCCTCTGAAGATGAAGGAATAATAGCATAAGCAAAATTCGAAAGCACAAAAGATTAAGAAAAAGCACAGTGGGCCGGGCGCGGTGGCTCATGCCCGTAATCCCAGCACTTTGGGAGGCCGAGGCGGGTGGATCACAAGGTCGTGAGATCGAGACCATCCTGGCTAACACGGTGAAACCCCGTCTCTACTAAATATACAAAAAATTAGCTGGGCATGGTGGCAGGCGCCTGTAGTCCCAGCTACTCCGGTGGCTGAGGCAGGGGAATGGTGTGAACCCAGGAGGCGGAGCTTGCAGTGAGCAGAGATCACGCCACTGCACTCCAGCCTGGGTGACAGAGCGAGACTCCGTCTCAAAAAAAAAAAAAAGAAAAAGAAGAAAAAGAAAAAGCACAGTGTGACATCCAGGCAGAGCAGAGGAAGGGGATAGAAAGTAATAATACCTACTTTGAATCAGGATGGAACCAGGTTCCTTACATACATTAGAGGTTTTACTCAGCTTATTTGTTCAGAAGCTGCCCCTCTTTAGTCTATAGATTTTATCAGGGCAAAAACCACGTCCCAGCATCCCATTGAGTCCCCAGTACTGAGTAAATGCTAATGGACAAATCAGCCCAGATAGATTCCATCATTTACTAGCCACGTGTCCCACACAGAACATCTAACTAAGGCTTAATTTCCTCATAGGCAAAATAGAAACACTAACTCCTACATGGTAGCCATTCAAAGCATGTCTTATGAGTGAATAAATTATCTCACTATCCCCATCAATTGGTTCCATTATCCTCATTCTAGGGACAAACAGACCCAGAGACGTAAAATTGCCTGAAGTCACATAGGTATTAGGTAGGAAGGCGTAATTGGACATGGATCTTCCTAATGTCAAAGCTTATGATAAATGTGTCTGCCATGGGATCCATGGATAATGGCAGACTGAAGATCACACCAAGGAATTCCACAGGTTCTGCTGCAGGAAGGCTATGGTGTATTTTTTTTTTTTTTTTTTTTTTTTTTTTTTTTGAGACAGAGTCTTGCTCTGTCACCCAGGCTGGAGTGCAGTGGTGTGATCTCGGCTTACTCCAAGCTCCGCCTCTGGGTTCATGCCATTCTCCTGCCTCAGCCTCCTGAGTAGCTGGACTACAGGTGCCCACTACCACGCCTGGCTAATTTTTTTGTATTTTTAGTAGAGACTGGGTTTCACTGTGTTAGCCAGGATGGTCTCAATCTCCTGACCTCATGATACGCCCACCTCAGCCTCCCAAAGTGCTGGGATTACAGGCATGAGCCACCGCACCTGGCCAGCTATGGTGTATTCTAATGTGGTGACATGGAAGGCTCCAGAAAGGGATGTAGACATAGTTATAACAATATGGGGGAAGAACACACTCAGTGAGGAAAGACAGTGCAACCATCACGTGTCCATGGGCCCCACAAGTGTTTGAAGAGCTCCTATCCTCAGTGCAGCTCCATGTGTGCAGAAATGTTCCACCTCACCCACTCAGGGCTCTCTATTTACCTAATTTTTGTCGTGAGCCAGTGAGCTATTCAGTCCCCTGCTGGGGTACAAGACACTGTGACAGATAGCGGTGCCCAGGCTGGGGAATAAATTGCACACTTCTGCCAATAAAACTAGCCAGAAAAGCAGGGAGGTTGTCACTGGTGGGCAAATTAGGCAGGAGTCCTTGGGTTTGTTTGCAATGTGGAGCGGCATGGAACACAGAGAGCAACTAGGTCTCCCAACAGTGGGAGCTGGAGGTCCACAACCTCTTGTGAGTAGGAGGCAGAAATCCAGTGAGTCCCACTGACAATCACAGTCTCTCATGGCAGAAGCACACAGGGGCACTTAATTAGCATAACAGGTGTCCTGATGAACAGGCATTCGACGTACATGGATAAAGAAAAAGTGAAAATGGTCACTGCTTTGTGGACAGATGAAGAACTGTCCAAACTCACCTGTGAGCCCTAGAAAGAAACCTGAAAACACCTTTACTCATTCCACAGACCAGACAAAACCCAGAGCAGTCACTTAGCTCAACTCCAGAAGAGGCAGAAACAGAGGGGAAGGATGAGGCTCGAGGACTGAGTTTCACTTCAGGCTGTTTTGGTCTTTTCCCAGGCTTTCAGCTCCTTTGCTTTTGAAGGCCCTGTCTCCTGTATCTCACAGCTTAACAAACCAGTAATATGCACCCATATTCCACATGAATATAATTCACATAGACCTAAACTACTGAAGAGTAAAGTTGCCATGGGCAAGTTGACCTAATGTCATTTGACATAAATATTTAACTAAATGAATATTGCTTTTGATTGTACAGTGCTCTTTTGCTATTTTCGAGCTAGTCATTGTTTCTCAGGTCTCACATTTTTAAATGCTCTTAAACAGCTTGTGTGCTACAGGCCCCATGCTCAGAGTACCTAATGGAGACATCAACTCTGCCACATCGTAACTGTGTGAACTGTGTGATCTCAGGCAAGTCGCCCAGCAGAGCTTCAGTTTCTTCATCTATAACCTTGGGAGAGCAATGCCTGCTTCACACAGCTGCTATGAGAGGCCCTGTTGTGAGAAAGTGCTTAGTGCAGAAGAGCCACGCAACAAAACTGTCTTTGTTTTCACTCCATAGGTCCTTGGAAAGCCAAGAACAATAAAGGAAGGGGTAAGGATTCATCATTTGCTCCACACATAACACATGACAGACTCTGAAAGCCTCTTGTATATAACACCCCATTTGGTACCGCCCAACATTCTCATGTGGAATAAGAGGCCATATTATCCCCTGGTTTTAACTGAAGGCATTGTGGTGACAAGACTGAGCCAGGTTCACGCAGAGCTGGGAGGCAGGAGCAGGTAAATGCATATAAGGAGGTTTTTGGAGAACAAGAAATTAGAGGAAGTTGAGTTTCTCTCTCACATCCTTGCTCCAGAATTGCAAAGGTTACATTTTCATCCCTTTGGTAATTGTCAGGTCTCTGAGCTCAAGCTAAGCCATCATATCCCCTGTGACCTGCACATACACATCCAGATGGCTGGTTCCTGCCTTAACTGATGACATTCCACCCCCAAAAGAAGTGAAAATGGCCTGTTCCTGCCTTAACTGTTGACATTATCTTGTGAAATTCCTTTTCCTGGCTCATCCTGGCTCAAAAGCTCCCCTACTGAGCACCTTGTGACGCCCCCCACTCCTGCCTGCCAGAGAACAACCACCATTTGACTGTAATTTTCCTTTACCTACCCAAATATTATAAAACGGCCCCACCCCATCTCCCTTCACTGACTCTCTTTTCGGACTCAGCCCATCTGCACCCAGGTGAAATAAACAGCCATGTTGCTCACACAAAGCCTGTTTGGTGGTCTCTTCACAGGGACGCGCATGAAATTTGATGCCATGACTCAATTGGGAGACCTCCCTTGGGAGATCAATCCCCTGTCCTCCTGCTCTCTGCTCCGTGAGAAAGATCCACCTACGACCTCAGGTCCTCAGACCGACCAGCCCAAGGAACATCTCACCAATTTCAAATCCAGTAAGCGGCCTCTTTTTACTCTCTTCTCCAACCTCTCTCACTATCCCTCAACCTCTTTCTCCTTTCAATCTTGGCGCCACACTTCAATCTCTCCCTTCTCTTAATTTCAATTCCTTTCATTTTCTGGTAGAGACAAAGGAGACACATTTTATCTGTGGGCCCAAAACTCCGGCGCCGGTCATGGACTCTGGAAGGCAGCCTTCCCTTGGTGTTTAATCATTGTGGGGACACCTCTCTGATGATTCACACATGTTCCATTGGTTTCTGATCTCCATGGGGACTCCTGCCTTGATCATTCACCCACGTTCCCTTGGTGGCAAGTCAATTGCGGGGACCCCTGCTTTGGCTGCTCACCCACGTTGCAGCCCAGGGCTGCTCCCTACCCCCTTCTCTGTGTCTCTACCCTTCTCTTTAAACTTGTCCCCTTCACTATAGGCAACCTTCCACCCTCCATTCCTCCTTCTTCTCCCTTAGCCTGCGTTCTTAAGAACTTAAAACCTCTTCAACTCTCACCTGACCTAAAATCTAAGCATCGTATTTTCTTCTGCAACACCGCTTGGCCCCAATACAAACTTGACAATGGCTCTAAATGGCCAGAAAACGGTACTTTCAATTTCTCCATCCCAGAAGACCTAAATAATTTTTGTCGAAAAATGGGCAAATGGTCTGAGGTGCCAGGCATTCTTTTACACATTGTTCCCTCCCTAGTCTCTGT
Organism: Homo sapiens; assembly: GCF_000001405.40. Taxonomy (NCBI): domain Eukaryota; kingdom Metazoa; phylum Chordata; class Mammalia; order Primates; family Hominidae; genus Homo; species Homo sapiens. The sequence continues at coordinate 34,835,885 of NC_000022.11, forward strand.
TCCCAATGCGAATCATCCCAGTCCCAACCCCAAGCGTCGCTGAGTCTTTCTAATCTTCCTTGTCTACAGGCCCATCTGACCTCTCCCCTCCTCCCCAGGCTGCTCCTCGCCAGGCCGAGCTAGGTCCCAATTCTTCCTCAGCCACCGCTCCTCCACCCTATAATCTTTTTATCACCTCCCCTCCTCACACCTGGTCCGGCTTACAGTTTTGTTCCGTGACTAGCCCTCCCCCACCTGCCCAGCAATTTCCTCTTAAAAAGGTGGCTGGAGCTAAAGGCATAGTCAAGGTTAATGCTCCTTTTTCTTTATCCGACCTCTCCCAAATCAGTTAGCATTTAGGCTCTTTTTCATCAAATACGAAAAACCCAGCCCAGTTCATGGCTTGTTTGGCAGCAACCCTGAGACGCTTTACAGCCCTAGACCCTACAAGATCAAAAGGCCGTCTTATTCTCAATATACATTTTATTACCCAATACGCTCCCAACTTTATATAAAGCTCCAAAAATTAAATTCGGCCCTCAAACCCCACAACAGGACTTAATTAACCTCACCTTCAAGGTGTGCAATAATAGAAAAAAGTTGCAATTCCTTGCCTCCACTGTGAGACAAACCCCAGCCACATCTCCAGCACACAAGAACTTCCAAACGCCTGAACCGCAGCAGCCAGGCGTTCCTCCAGAACTTCCTCCTCCAAGAGCTTGCTACAAGTGCTGGAAATCTGGCCACCGGGCCAAGGAATGCCCACAGCCCGGGATTCCTCGTAAGCCGTGTCCCATCTGTGCAGGACCCCACTGAAAATTGGACTGTTCAACTCACCTGGCAGCCACTCCCAGAGCCCCTGGAACTCTGGCCCAAGGCTCTCTGACTGACTCCTTTCCAGATCTTCTTAGCTTAGCAGCTGAAGACTGATGCTGCCAGATCGCCTCGGAAGCCTACAGGACCATCACAGATGCTCTAGGTAACTCTCACAGTGGAGGGTAAGTCTGTCCCCTTCTTAATCAATACGGAGGCTACCCACTCCATATTACCTTCTTTTCAAGGGCCTGTTTCCCTTGCCTCCATAACTGTTGGGGATACTGACGGCCAGGCTTCTAAACCTCTTAAAACTTCCCAACTCTGGTGTCAACTTAGACAATACTCTTTTAAGCACTCCTTTTTAGTTATCCGCACCTGCCCAGTTCCCTTATTAGGCTGAGACACTTTAACTAAATTAGCTGCTTCCCTGACTATTCCTGGGCTACAGCCACACCTCATTGCCACCTTTTCCCCCAGTTCAAAGCCTCCTTCACATCCTCCCCTTGTATCTCCCCACATTAACCCACAAGTATAGGACGCCTCTACTCCCTCCTTAGCAACCAATCATGCACCCCTTACCATCCCATTAAAACCTAATCACTCTTATCCCGCTGAATGCCAATATCCCGTCCCACAGCACGCTTTAAAAGGATTAAAGTCTATTATCACTCGCCTGCTACAGCATGGCCTTCTAAAGCCTATAAACTGCCCTTACAATTCCCCCATTTTACCTGTCCTAAAACCAGACAAGGCTTACAGGTTACTTCAGGATCTGCGCCTTATCAACCAAATTGTTTTGTCTATCCACCCCGTGTTGCCAAAACCAAATACTCTCCTATCCTCAATACCTCCCTCCACAACCCATTACTCTGTTCTGGATCTCAAACATGCTTTCTTTACTATTCCTTTGCACCTTTCATCCCAGCCTCTCTTCGCTTTCACTTGGACTGACCCTGACACCCATCAGGCTCAGCAAATTACGTGGGCTGTACTGCCACAAGGCTTCACAGACAGCCCCCATTACTTCAATCAAGCCCAAATTTCTTCCTCATCTGTTACCTATCTCGGCATAATTCTCATGAAAACCCACGTGCTCTCCCTGCTGATCGTGTCTGGCTAATCTCCCAAACCCCAATCCCTTCTACAAAACAACAACTCCTTTCCTTCCTAGGCATGGTTAGTAAGGTCAAAATTCTTACACAAGTGCCAGGACTGCGTCCTGCAGCCTTTCTGTCCAAACAACTTGACCTTACTGTTTTAGCCTAGCCCTCACGTCTGCGTGCAGCAGCTGCTGCTGCTTTAATACTTTTAGAGCCCCAAAAAATCACAAACTATGCTCAACTCACTCTCTACAGTTCTCATAACTTCCAGAATCTATTTTCTTTCTCCCACCTGATGCATATACTGTCTGCTCCCCGGCTCCTTCAGCTGTACTCACTCTTTGTTGAGTCTCCCACAATTACCATTGTTCCTGGCCCAGACTTCAATCCAGCCTCCCACATTATTCTGGATACCACACCTAACCCCTATGACTGTATCTCTCTGATCCACCTGACATTCACCCCATTTCCCCATATTTCCTTCTTTCCTGTTCCTCACCCTGAACACACTTGTTTTATTGATAGTAGTTCCACTAGGCCTAATCGCCACATACCAGCAAAGGCAGGCTATGCTATAGTACCAGCCACCAGCCCACCTCTTAGAACCTCTCATTTCCTTTCCATCGTGGAAATCTATCCTCAAGGAAATAACTTCTCAGTGTTCCATCTGCTATTCTACTACTCCTCAGGGATTATTCAGGCCCCCTCCCTTCCCTACATATCAAGCTCAGGGATTTGCCCCTGCCCAGGACTGGCAAATTGACTTTACTCACATGCCCTGAGTCAGAAAACTAAAATACCTCTTAGTCTGGGTAGACACTTTCACTGGATGGGTAGAGGCCTTTCCCACAGGGTCTAAGAAGGCCACCGCAGTCATTTCTTCCCTTCTGTCAGACATAATTCCTCGGTTTGGCCTTCCTACCTCTATACAGTCTGATAATGGACCAGCCTTTATTAGTCAAACCAGCCAAGCATTTTTTCAGGCTTTTGGTATTCAGTGACACCTTTATATCCCTTACAGTCCTCAGTCTTCAGGAAAGGTAGAACGGACTAATGGTCTTTTAAAAACACACCTCACCAAGCTCAGCCACCAACTTAAAAAGGACTGGGCATACTTTTACCACTTGCCCTTCTCAGAATTCAGGCCTGTCTTCGGAATGCTACAGGGTACAGCCCATTTGAGCTCCTGTATGGAAGCCCCTTTTTATTAGGCCCCAGTCTCCTTCCAGACACCAGACCAATTTGGACTATGCCCAAAAAAACTTGTCATCCCTACTATCTTCTGTCTAGTCATACTCCTATTCACCGTTCTCAACTACTCATACATGCCCTGCTCTTGTTTACACCGCCGGTTTACACTGTTTCTCCAAGCCATCACAGCTGATATCTCCTGGTGCTATCCCCAAACTGCCACTCTTAACTCTTAAAGTAAATAATAATCTTTGTTGGCAGGACTATGCTGAATCTCCTTAGGTACTCTCTAATTAGATGTCCTGGGTCCTCCCAATTCTTAGTCCTTTAATACCTGTTTTTCTCCTTCTCTTATTCCGTTTAGTTTTTCAATTCATATAAAACCATATCTAGGCCATCACCAATAATTCTAAATGACAAATGTTTCTTCTAACAACCCCACAATATCACCCTTTACCACAAAATCTTCCTTCAGCTTAATCTCTCCCACTCTAGGTTCCCATGCCGCCCCTAATCCCGCTCGAAGCAGCCCTGAGAAACATCGCCCATTATCTCTCCACACCACCCCCAAAAACTTACGCCATCCCAACACTTTACTACTATTTCATTTTATTTTTCTTAATATAAGAAGACAGGAATGTCAGGCCTCTGAGCCCAAGCTAAGCCATCATATCCCCTGTGACCTGCACGTACACATCCAGATGGCTGGTTACTGCCTTAACTGATGACATACCACCCCAAAAGAAGTGAAAATGGCCTGTTCCTGCCTTAACTGATGACATTATCTTGTGAAATTCCTTCTCCTTGCTCATCCTGGCTCAAAAGCTCCCCTACTGAGCACCTTGTGACCCCCCCACTCCTGCCCACCAGAGAACAACCCCCTTTTGACTGTAATTTTTTTCTTTTACCTACCCAAATCTTATAAAACAGCCCCACCCCATCTCACTTCACTGACTCTCTTTTCGGACTCAGCCCGCCTGCACCCAGGTGAAATAAACAGCCATGTTGCTCAGACAAAGCCTATTTGGTGGTCTCTTCACACGGACGTGCATGAAAGTAATAATACAAGAAGTAGGGATTTCAAAATCTCCAGAGTGTTTAGAGTCTTTGGAGGGGCAGTGGAGAGACACACATCCCAAACTTAGCCCACCTATTCAATGCATTGGATGGCAATCTTCATAGTTACAAATGGTAGAGCTGACCCTGAGGTCCCTAGAAGACCTGTGACATAGCCAACAGTGGATCACAGATGGAAAGAAGAAAAGGGAAAAAAGTTTTGGAAGAAAAAGGAAAAGCACATACAAATATATGCACACGCACATACATATGCATAAATGTATATATTCATTTGTATATATGTGTGTCTGACACACACACATATAAACAACTTAGAAAAGGAAAAAATATCTCCAGGTGCCTGGTTATCTTAAGAATACCAAGCCACATGACCGCCTTCTCAAATGACCAAACATCAGCCATGTTAAATGACCTGTACAAGTGGTAGTCAAGGTCAGGGTCCTGGTCAAACAAACGGGAAACCATTAATAGTTTTTGTACATATGTTACGTATTCCGTAAAATTCTTCCCTTTTTACAAGTAAGGATACTGAGTCTCAACATTTTTGCAATTTGTTTAGGTCATAAAGCTAATAAGTGGTAGAATCAGATCTTGGACCAGGTCTGTCTAACTCCAAGGTCCAAGCCTGTTCCCCAAATGTCTGTGCCTCAGCATAGTCCAAAGTTTCACTCATGTCCATGTGAAGACCACTAAACAGGTTTTGTGTGAGCAATAAAGCTTTTTAATCACCTGGGTGCAGGCAGGCTGAGTCCAAAAAGAGTCAGCGAAGGGAGAGAAGGGTGGGGCCATTTTATAAGATTTGGGTAGGTAAAGGAAAATTACAGTCAAAGGGGGGTTGTTCTCTGGCAGGCAGGGGTGGGGGTCACAAGGTGCTCAGTGGGGGAGCTTTTTGAGCCAAGATGAGCCAGGAGAAGGAATTTCACAAGGTAATGTCATCAGTTAGGGCAAGGACTGGCCATTTTCACTTCTTTTGTGGTGGAATGTCATCAGTTAAGGCAGGAACAGGCCATTTAAATATCACTTCTTTTGTGATTCTTCAGTTACTTCAGGCCATCTGGATGTATACATGCAGGTCACAGGGGATGCTATGGCTTAGCTTGGGCTCAGAGGCCTGACACAAAAGTTTATAGTTTTTTGTTTTAAATCATCTTAAGATAGCAATGGACACGCTCAAGCAGTATACTGAATATTTTTCACTGGGAATTGAATATTCTAACTTCCAGTTTATAGGTGAGAAAATGAAAGTTCCAAGATATAATGTAGCTTGCCCACACAGCCAGCCAGTGATGGTGCTGACGTAGGATTTAGGACTATCAATCCCTATGTCATTTCCACTCTAGAGAACTGCCTTCTCATTGCCCTGAAGCAAACCGCATTAACTGACATCCACACAACTAAGTGTCTGTAGGGGTCAGGATTCTTTTGCAGGTGACAAGCAAGATAAAAATCCAGGAACTTCTGGGGAAAGCAATGCAGAGTGATTCCCTATTGACATAAGTGCATTCCTGAACTCCCACTTCTCAGCACTCAAAAGAGGTTACGCTTTCCTCCATGCTGATCTGGTAAATGAGTTTGCATCAGCATAAACTGAATAGAGGAGAAAGAGGTATCAATTCAGGGCTTCTAGTCTTAATGACAAAGCTGTAATTGTGTCCCTGGGCCAGACAGCTGCCAGCTTCCTGAGAAAGGAGATATCTTTTAAGCTTTAAGGAGGCTTTGGTTAAAAATAAACACAGACAAAGTCCTGGTTTTACTCACTCTCCTCCACCTTGTCCAAGGGGGAAGGAAAAGCCAGTGGAATTGTAATTGGTGCGGGCATCTGCTAAATAAAGTAACACAGACATGCAGTTTCCACCCCTGTGCAAGGTGAGAGTAAGAATTTTGTATGAGTTGGTGAAAATACGACAATAGAAATAGACTGCAACACACCAAGCAAAGGTCATAAATAAAGCAACAACCTCACAGTAATGGGCATGACATGGGATGCGAATCTTGATCCAAAATCTAACAGGCAGAAGCAGGCAAGAATCAGCTCTTGACTTGCTTTTGAGTGATGTCTTGGAAATGGTTCATAATAACCATGAATTCCAATTTGGTTGAGTAATTCTGTCCAAAGCAGAACCTAATAAGGGAGTCATCAGGACATCAGATTGCAGCAAGTTTAGGAAGACTATGAGCAAATTTTAGGGAAGCAAATCAATAAGTGGATAATCGTAAATGTCTCGGTCCTGCCCAGCACTCCATCCACCCTGAGATTTTTACTGTCAGTAAAGAGAGTGTCTGAACTGGGAGCAATCCCAGAGGAGAGAAACAAAGCAAGGAAAATGAGCAGAATGAGTATAGATTCACTGGGGAAAAGATTAAATTCACCGTTATTATTAATATTACCATTATTATTTTATAATCAAACACTTATGAGCAGTTGTATTCCAAAAAGCACCTTGGTAAGTGGCTGAGAAATATAGATGCTCCCGGGTCTCTTTTCAGTCCCAGGCTTGGTGCCCATTTGTCTCCAGGGACTCAAATACTTTCCCTCCACCCATAAAGCTGCAAGTTCCCACTCTTTCCCCAGGGGAATAGATATGCTAAGGTCTGGTTGCAGTCTCCCTCCAGACTGCCTCAAAAAGCACCTCATAGGCTCTTTTTTTGTTGTTTTAGGAGTCTTACCACTGACCACCAAAGGAAAAACAGGAGAAAAAATAAAAAACTTAAGAAAAGTACAAATACATCTTGCAGAGTTCTTACCTCTGTGATCCTTAATCAGCAATGATGAGAGAATGGAGCCAGTAGGGGACAGTGCAGCGCAGTTCAAGAAGCTCTGGCTTCTTCTGGCTTCTTCCAGCTGATGCCAGCTGGAGAGGGTTTGAATCCCAACTCAAGCACCTGTTAGTGGGGCTGCCTCAGGGATATCACTTAAAAATCCTGAGCCTCATTGATATGGTTAGGTTTTGCGTCCCCACCCAAATCTCATCTTGAATTGTAATCCCCAAGTGTTGAGGAACCTGGTGGTAGGTGATTAGATCCTAGGGGCAGTTTCACCCATGCTGTTCTCTGGATAGTGAGTGAGTTCTCATGAGATCTGATAGTTTTATAAGTGTTTGACAAGTTCTTCCTTTGCTCACTCTTCTCCCTCTTGCCACCATGTGAAGAAGTCCTTGCTTCCCCTTCTGCCACGATTGTCAGTTTCCCTGTAAGTTTCCAGCCATGTGGAACTGTGAGTCAATTAAACCTCCTTCCTTTATAAATTGCCCAGGCTTGGGTATTTCTTTATAGCGGTGTAAGAATGGATTAATACAATAAATTGGTACCACAGAGAGTGGGGCACTGCTGAAAAGTGGGGCACCTGAAAATGTGGAAGCAACTTTGGAACTGGGTAATGGGCAGAGTTTGGAACAGTTTGGAGGGCTCAGAAGACAGAAGGATTTGGGAAAGTTTGGAACTTCCTAGAGCCTTGTTGAATGGTTTTGACCAAAATGCTCATAGTGATATGGACAATGAAGTCCAGGCTGAGGTGGTCTCAGATGGAGATGAGGAACTTCTTAAGAACTGGAGCAAAGGTCATTCTTGCTACACTTTAGCAAAGAGAACTGGCAGCATTTTGCCACTGCCCTAGAGATTTGTGGAACTTTGAACTTGAGAGAGATGGTCTGAAATTGGAACTTACGTTTAAAAGGAAAGTAGAGCACAAAAGTTTGGGAAATTTACAGCCCAATGATTTGATAGAAAAGAAAAACCCATTTTCTGGGGAGAAATTCAAGCCAGCTGCAGAAATTTGCATAAGTAATGAGGAGCCGAATGTTAATCACCAAGACAATGCTCTCCAGGGCATGTCAGAGACCTTCCTGGCAGCCCCTACCATCACAGGCCCAGAGGTCTAGGAGAGAAAAATGGTTTCAGGGACTGGGTCCAGGGCCCCTTGCTGTGTGCAGCCTCAGGACTTGGTGCTCTACATCCCAGTTGCTCCAGGTTTGGCTATAAAGGAAGACACAGCTCAGGTTGTTGCTTCAGAGAGTAAAAGCCCCAAGCCTTGGCAGCTTCCATGTGGTGTTGGTCCTGCAGGTATACAAAAAACAAGAATTGAGGTTTGGGAACTTCTGCCTAGATTTCAGAGGATGTATGGAAATGCCTGAATGTCAAGGCAGAGGTGTGCTGCAGGGGCAGAGCCTTCATGGAGAACCTCTGCTAGGGCAGTGTGGAAAGAAAATATGGGGTTGGAGCCCCCACACAGAGTTCCCACAGAGGCACTACCTAGTGGAGCTTTGAGAAGAGGGCTACCCTCCTTCAGGATGGTAGATCCACTGACAGCTTGCACCATGCCCCTGGAAAAGTGGCAGACACTCAATGCCAGCCCATGAAAGCAGTCAGGGTGGGCATCAGGGGTGTAGATGAACCCCGCAAAGCCACAGGGGTGGAGCTGTCCAAGGCTGTGGGAACCCACCTCTTGCATCAGCATGACCTGGATGTGAGATATGGTGTAAAAGGAGATTATTTCAGAGCTTTAAGATTTAATGATTGCCCTGCTGGATTTCAGACTTGCATGGGGCCTGTTTCTTCTTTGTTTGGGCCAATTTCTCCCACTGGAATGTGAGCATTTATCCAATGCCTGTACCCACATTGTATCTTGGAAATAACTAACTTGCTTTTGATTTTACAGGCTCCTAGGCAGAAGGGACTTCCCTTGTCGCAAATGAGACTTTTGACTTGAAGTTTTGGGTTAATACTGGAATGAATTACAACTTTAGAAGGCTGTTAGGAAGGCATGATTGGTTTTGAAATGTGAAACGGGCATGAGATTTCAGAGGGGCTGGGGCAGAATGATATGGTTACGCCTTGTGTCCCCACCCCAATCTCATCTTGAATTGTAATCCTCAGGTGTTGACGGAAGAACATGATGACAGATTATTGGATCATGGGGACAGTCTCCCCCATGCTGCTTTCATGGTAATGAGTGAGTTCTCATGAGATCTGATGGTGAGTGAGTTCTCACAAGATATCTCTCTCCTGCTGCCATGTGAAGAAGGGTTTTGCTTCCCCTTCACCTTCCTCCTTGAATGTAATTTTCCTGAGGCCTCCCCAGCTATGTAGAACTGTGAGTCAATTAAACCTCTTTCCTTTATAAATTACCCAGTCTTGGGTATTTCTTTATAGTCATGTAAGAATGTACTAATATACTCATTTTTTTTCTGTAATATGAAAATAGAATTTACCAGGATGAGTTTTTTTTAGGACTTAGAATTATTTTATTTATATATATATGTATATTATATATACACATTTATGTATACATAAATGTAGATATAAATGTATATATATTCATTTATGTGTATATATAGGTATATAGAAATGATATAGATATAAATATAAACACAAACACAGATACCTATACATCTATATATATATATATCAATCATACACATAACACAATAGGAGTTAAATATGTGGTAGCTATTTCTATTTTTATCCTTGGAAAATTAACTGGATGACCTCCCTATGTTATTACCCTGGGGGTGAAATTCAACAAACTCTCTCCTTTCTTCCTGACTCATCTGAAAGTGAAGCGCTGACTAACACATTTCATCCTGATAGCTCCTCTTCCAGTCTTAAAATGTAACCCTGCCTAGTCCAACCATGAGCAAAACATCAGACAAACCCAGACAGAAATTGAGGGGCATTTTATAAAACACCTAACCAGTACTCTTCAAGCCACCAAGGTCATCGAAAACAAGAAAAGACTGAGCAAGTTTCACAGACCAGAGAAACTTGTCAACTAAATGTTAGATGGTATCATGGAGGTGATCCTGGAGCAGAACAAGGCATGAAGTTAAAACTAGTAAAGTCTAAATAAAATGTTGAGTTTAGTACTGCTCCACTGTGTTCCTTAGTTGTAAGAAATGCGCAATGGTAATGTAAGATGGGAAAACGTGAATGGGATGGGACAATGGGAAAAACTGGGTGAGGGGTATTTGGGAACTCTCTTTACTATTCTTGCAACTTTTTTTTAAATTTAAAACTATCCTTTTTTTTTTTTTTTTTTTTTTTTTGAGACGAGTCTTGCTCTGTCACCCAGGCTGGAGTGCAGGGGCGCGATCTCGGCTCACTGCAAGCTCCGCCTAAAACTACAAGTTTATTTAAATAAACATTATTCTAATGGAGCAGTAGGTGCCTCTAGATAGACTGAACAATCTGAATCATTGTAATACTAATTAACAATTACTGAGTACTACCATGCCCAGAAACAGAAATAAACTTATTACCTGGCATTATTTTATTTAATCATCCCAATCACTCCACCAGGTAGGCACTAATATCCCGATAATGTAGCTAGTAGGACCTCTAAAGAGGGATTCACTTTATATTTATATTATATTTTTCTTATGATAGGCAGCAATTTGGAAATCAAAAAATATTTCCTCCAGGAAAAAAAAATTATAAGAAGAGTGTTTCTATGAATGTGTCAGAGTGAGCTGACTTAGTTCCTCCTATAGGAAATTCCTTGCTCTAGAAACAAAGAGATAGCTCAAGGTCCAAGTATTTAGAGTTTGAATTAGCTATCAATTAGAGTTTGAATTGATGCCATAGTGGTACAGCATCATTCACTCCAGAAATAGGAGTAAGGTCTAGGGACTTGAGAATAACTACCCAAGGATTAGAAGAATAGGGCTTAGAATAAGCTCAAGAAAGCAGCAAAGAAGACTGTCTTCTACCTGTCTGAATAGAGAACTAAAGAATCCCCCTTGAAGTCAAAAGTCTAAGTTTACTCCACAAGTGAAGAGAGGGTCAGATTTTATACTTATCACAAGGTAAGGGGATCCCGAAGTCAGAATTTCATGGAAAAACTAGTTTAGAAACAGTGAAGTCTCTGAGTCTTGGAAGAAACAAAAGTTAAGACTATTCTATAAGAATACTTTCATAGCCCAGAACACAAGGTAGTCCCACCAAAATATGAAAAAAACACAAAAACATAATAAAATCTAACAATTTATTTTACCACATTAACAAAGGTGAAAAAAATTGATCATAATGATAGATGGTTTTTAAAAATTGCCACATTCAACACCAATTTACAAAAGAACAAATAAGTCTTGGAAAACTAGGAGTAGAAGAGAACTTTCTTACACTCATAAAAGGTATATGCAAAGCTCTACAGCAAACCTCAAAGTTAATGATGAAACATTAGAAGATTCTAGGTTCTGCAAAAAAGAAACTCAACAAACTCTCCCCTTCCTTCCTGACTCATCTGAAAGTGAGAAGCTGACTAACACATTCCACCCTGAAAGCTCTTCTTCACGTCTTAAAATGTAACTCTGCCCAGTCCAACCATGTCCTGGAGGTCTTACCTAACACAATATAAAGAAAAAAAATAAGTGCCAGATGAAAGAATGGGAAAGAAATGCACAAAGGATAATAATTCAAAGAAATAATTTTCTACATAGAATAGCCAAAATAACCTACAGCCATGTTATTAGAGCTCATCAGAATTCAGCAACAATGCTGGCTATAACATCAAGATGCAAAAAATGGAATTTCCATGTTTAATTTTATAATAAACTGCCAAGATACTTTCCAGAGTGATATACGTTTTATATCAATAATGCCTGCCTGATCCAGTTTCTATGCATCCTGGCCAGCATCTGATGTTGTCACTATTTTTTTATTCTGCTCATTCTGATAGGTGTGTAGTTACATCTTACTAAGGTTTTAATTTCCATTTCCCTAAAAGCCAATGATGTTGAATATTTTTTCATGTGCTGCTTTGTTGTTCACCCTCTTTGATGAAATGTCTGTTGATATGTTTTGCCCATTTTCTAGTTGAATTGTTTGTTTTACAACTGATTTCTGAGAGCTCCTTATATATCACAGACACTAGCCTTTTTTGAATATGTGGTTTGCAAATATTTTATCCTATTCTGTAACTTGTATTTTCATCCCTTTAACAGATCTGTTGCAGAGCAGAAGTTTTTAATTTTGATAAGGTTCAATTTTTCAAATTTTATTTTTATGGATCATATTTATGGTATCAAATTTTAGAAATTCTCCACCAACTCTTGGTTCTGAAGACTTTTTTCCTATGTTTTCCTCTTGAAGTTTTATATTTTCCATTTAAGTCTGTGATACATTTTGACATTTTGAGTGAACTTTCATGTAAATTATGAGGTTTAAGTCAAGGTTTTGGTTTTTTTTTTTTTTTTTTTTTGCCTATCAACATCCAGTTTCTCGAGCACCATTTGTTGAAAAAAACTTATTCCTCCATTGAAATTGAAATTGAAATACAAAGGAGCCAAGAAAGCTAAGGCAATTTTGAAAGAATGAATAAAGTGGGAGGATTTACTTTACCCAATTTCAAGATGTATTATATAGCCACAGTAATCAAAGTTGTGTGGTCCTGACAGAGGGAAAGACACAGATCAATGGAATATATTAGAGGACCCAGATATAACCTCACATAAGGAAGGCCAACTACTTTTTGACAAAGGTTCAAAAGTAATTCAATGAGAGCAAAACAAAATGAGCTTGAACCTAAAGTTCACATCTTATAAAAAATTAACTCAAAATGGATCATAGATTTACATGTAAGACATAAAACTATAAAACTCTGAGAAGAAGACATGGAAGAAAATCTTCAGGATTTAGGGCTTGGTTAAGAGTTCTTAAACATAACATCAAAGGCATAACCCATAAAAGGAAATATTGATACATTTGATCTCATCAAAATAAAATAAAAAACATTTTCTCTGAGATAGACCTATTAAGGGGATAAAAAATAAGCTGTGGAGTGGAAGAAAATATTTGCAAACTACACATCTGACAAAAGACTATTATCAAGAAAATATTTTTAAAAACTTTCCACAATAATTTAAAAATCCCAAGTAAAGGCTGCAGTGAGCCCTGATCAGGTCACTGCACTCCAGCCTGGGTGACAGAGCAAGAACTTGTCTCAAAAAAAAAAAAAAAGAAAAAGAAAGAAAAAAAAAGAGGAAGGAAGGAAGGGAGGGAGGAAGGGAGGGAGAGAGGCCGGATGCCGTGGCTCACGCCATTAATCCCAGTACTTTGGGAGGCTGAGGCATGTGGATTACCTGAGGTCAGGAGTTCAAGACCAGCCTGGCCAACATGTTGAAATGCCACTTCTACTAAAAATACAAAAGTTAGCCAGGTGGTAGTGGCGCGTGCCTGTAATCCCAGCTACTTGGGAGGCTGAGGCGCAAGAATCGCTTGAGCCTCAGAGGAGGAGGTCGAGGTGAGCCAAGATCCCCCTGCCACTGTACTCTAGTCTGAGTGACAGAATGAGACTCTGTCAAAAAAAAAAAAAAAAAAAAAAAAAAAAAAAAAAAAGGAAGGAAGCAAGCAAGCAAGCAAACCACATGAACAAACACAGATGTTCACTATCACTAGCCACAGCTAAAATTAAAAGTAGTGATAGTCCCAAATGTTGACAGGGATATGAGGAAACTGGATCCCTCATGCATTGCTGGTGGGAGTGTAAAATGGTGCAGCCACTTTAGAAAATACTTTGGCAGTTTCTTTTCAAAGCTAAACATACATTTACCGTGTGACCCAACAGTTACACTCATTGTATGTTTGTCTCAGAATAAATGAAAATATATGTTTATACAAAAACATGTACACAAGTGTTCATAGCAGCTTTGTTTATAATAGCCAAAAACCAGAAACAACAAAAACGTCCCTCCCTAAGAAAACAGTTAAACCAATGCAGTACATCGATGTCATAGAATATTTCTCAGAAATAAAAAGAGAACTATTGATACACACAACTTGGCTGGATCTCAGGGCATTATGTTTAATGAAAAATAGCCAGTCTCAAAAGAGCATATGCTATGTGATTGTATTTACATGGCAATCTCAAAATGATAAAATTATAGAGTTAGAACACAAATTAAGGGTTTCCAGCGGGTAGGCATGGTGTGGGGAAGAAGGTGGGGTTGGCCATCAAAGGGTAGCATGAGGGAGATCTTTGTGGTAATGTAACCAAGAGTAGGCTTGGCTGCTTGCCACTTGCAAAGCCGGTAACAAGGATGAAGTCCAGTAAAAGGAAAGTGACTTTATTTCCAAAGCTGGTAGTAAGGAATGGCTGAGAAACCACTTTGAAATTTAGGCTGGGGAGAGGGGCCTAAAAATAAGAACTTGGAATGGGAGGTATGCGGTAGGGTACTCAGTACAAGGTCTGTGTGTCAGAGGCATTTGAACCACAGCAACTCCGTCTTGAATAGGGGCTGGGTAAAATGAGGCTGAGACCTAATGGGCTGCATTCCCAGACAGTTAGGCATTCTAAGTCACAGGATGAGATACGAGGTCAGCACAAGATACAGGTCATAAAGACCTTTTTAATAAAACAGCTTGCAGAGAAAAAAAACAAAGCCAGCTAAAACCCACCAAAACCAAGAAGGCAACAAGGGTGACCTCTGGTTGTCCTCACTGCTACATTCCCACCAGTGCCATGACAGTTTACAAATGCCATGACAACATCAACTGCCCTTTATGGTCTAAACGTTACCCTATATGGTCTATAAAGGGGAGGCATAAACAATCCACCCCTTCTTTAGCAAATAATCAAGAAATAACCATAAAAAAATGGGCAACCAGCAGCTCTCGGGGCTGCTCTGTCTATGGAGTAGCCATTCTCTTATTCCGTTACTTTCCTAATAAATTTGCTTTCACTTTATGGACTTGCCCCGAATTCTTTCTTGTGCAAGATCCAAGAACCCTCTCTTGGGGTCTGGATACGGACCCCTTTCCTGTAACATGTGTGTCTATTTCCAGGGGCCACCTTGAGCCCTAGTCCACCTGGAGCACAGGCTGGGATCAGTAACAATGGCCGGGTTGTTGACTAACCACCTTGGGGTAACCTCTGGAGTTTTTCAGCTTTGTCTCCATGCTTGGTCTGTCTCAAGATTAGTCCCTGGAACTTTTAAGTAAGCACAGAATTAGATACAAAGATGCAATTAGATACATATGCCTGGGGTAAAAGGAGTACACAGTGAGAAAGGGAAGGGAGTGAAGTTTCAAGGCTACATTTTAAGACTAAGAGAAAAGGATTTTGTTTCAAGGTTACATCTTGAGAGTGAAAAGAAAGGATAAAAGAAAAAAAGCTTTTAAAGTGTGTTTTGGGCTGGGCGCGGTGGCTTGCACCGGTATTCCCAAGACTTTGGGAGGCCAAGGCGGGCAGATCACGAGGTCAAGAGATCAAGACCATCCTGGCCAACATGGTGAAACCCCACCTCTACTAAAAATACAAAAATTAGCTGGGTGCGGTGGCACCCGCCTGTAGTCCCAGCTACTCAGGAGGCTCAGGCAGGAGAATCGCTTGAACCCGCGAGGCAGAGGTTACAGTGAGCCGAGATCGCGACACTGCACTCCAGCCTGGTGACAGAGCGAGGCTCCATCTCAAAAAAAAAAAAAAAAAAAAAAAAATGTGTTTTGAAGCTAAACTACTCAGTTACAGTAATGGAATTATGCCATCTCTTGATTTCAGTGGTAGTTACACAAATCTACACAGGTGATTAAATGTCAGAACTATACACACATGCTGCACCACTGTGAGTTTCCTGACTTTGATGTACTGTAGTAATGCATAGCTTTATGTATGTATATATATATATATATGTATGTATATGCTTATGAAACTGGGTGAAGGGCACAGGAACTGATCTACTCTCTTCGCAACTTCCTGCGGATTTATAATTATTTCAAAGTGAAAAGTTAAACTAGAGACTGTCAATCAATATTTTTTAGTATGTGAAATGCCTTTGATAAATGTAGTGTTATTATAACAGCAACAGTTTTATAATAAAATGCCTAGTCATCAGTGAAAAGGACAAAGCTACTTTTCTACTAGGTTAGGAAATATTGGGGCTCACCAGAAGCAGAATGCTGAATTCCTGTTCTCAGCCACACATGTCACAGATACTGAAAGCAACATGGCTAAGTAGGCTCTAAAGTGATGCTAGAGGCTGAAAGACCCGAGTGTGCATAAAAGTTTCCCCACTTTATCTCTTTGTACATTTCTTATGTCACTAATAGTAGCGACAAAGATGACTTGCTCATCTCTGACCCCTCAGCACCCAGGACAGCACCTTCCACTGAATCAGGCCTCAATTAATAATTGTGGGATTGCAAGTGTCTTTACCTTTCTGAACCTCCAATCCTTCTACTGAAAAATTACTATCTTTTTCCTCTATTTTCTATTTACCACCTCTTCCTGCAGGAAACTGGCATTTTCAAAAGCCACGTTTACATATGAAATCAACAAGATTAACACATTTATTGGTCTATTGTGCAAAGGAAGTATAATCACAATACTGAAAAGATGGCTAAGAAAGTTTTTTAACCACAGCTATCTTTGAGTGTGCAAATAGGGTTTCTGACACACAATCAGGAGGTCATCAGACACTGAGACTTGTTCTGAGCTGACTGACGTCATCCACTCCCTCCCAGGAAGGTTCCCTAGGGGTGACTGCTGATTTGGACAACCAGTCACTTCCTAGGAACACAGAAATCAGACATTGTATGCTGCTTCTCCTTTAAGGAATTTCCTTTACTCTCTTTTTAATTTTTCTTCATTCCTCTCTTTATTTTTCACATGAGACATGTAATTGGTCATTTATATAAATTAGAACCACAGACTAGAACAATCTTTGGATCTTCACTCTTATTAAATTTACAAGAATCTGAGGCCTGGATAGCAAGGCTTTTTCCTCAAGTTCATGTCTTAAGTCAATGGCAGAGCTAGAAATTCAACTTGATTGATTCCAGCAATCAATCCATAGCTCATGTATTCTGAACTATCTCAGGGAATCTCAGAGCCAAAGTGCTCATCTCAAAACTAGTCAGTTTCATTCCTTATAAAGTTAAAAAGATGGTAAGCTAGGCTCAGAGCAGCCTTTCTTTTGGTGTGGGAAGAGGTAGGAGTTATCTGTGTAATACGGTACTCCCACTTGCTCTGTGTTCAGGACACTCACTCTAAGTTCAGCAGGATAGATCTAAAGAAAGTTAGAGGAAGACAACTCTGTCCACCCAACAAAATAAATCACTTTAAAATAAATATGTAATAAACAAAACAATTTTTAAAACTTTTAACAATATCCACTGTGGGTACGAATGTAGAGAAATAGACACTCTCAACCACTAGTAGATAGATAAATTAGTACAGTCTTTGAGGGCACTATTAAAGAAAATTAAAAATGTATATAATTATAAATCTACCAAAGCGCATATATGATCTGTATGCTGAAAACTACAAAGTGCTGGTAAAATAAATCAAAGTCCTAAATCAATGGACTTTATTCCATGTTCATGGACTGGAAGATTCAGCATAGTAAAGATGTCATTTATCTTCAAATTGATCTATAAACTTAACACAAATTCAACCAAAATCCCAGCAGGACCTTTTGTAGATAGATAAGCCGATTCAAAAACTCATAGAGAAAGGCAATAAAACTAGAATGGTTAAAACAATTTTTAAAATGAAGGAAGAAGTTGAGTAGTAAACTTACCTGATTTTAAGACTTCTAATAAAGCTACAGTAATCAAGACACTATGGTATTTGTGGAGGAATAGACATATAGAGCAATGGACTAGAATACAGAATTGTAAAGTAGACCCACACAAATATAGCAAATGGATTTTCAACAAATGTATAAAGACAATTCAATGGTACTCCAAATATCCATATGCAAAAAAGAACTTCAATTCATACCTCCCATTATATGCAAAACTTAGCTCAGAATGGATCACAAATCTAAATATAAAACATAAGACCATAAAACCTTTAGAATAAAACATAGCAGAAAATATTTGTGTGCTGGGTTGGGCAAAGAGTTCTTAGATATGACACCAAAAGCATGATCCATAAAAGAAAAAAAAAGATAAATTGAATTTTATCAAAATTTAAAACTTTTACTCTGCAAAAGGCATTGCTAAAAGATTGAAAACGCACTCTATAGACTGGAAGAAAATCTTTGCAAGTGACGTATCTGGCAAAGAAGTAGCATGAAGCATACATGAAGAACTTGTGAAACTCAACAAACCCAATTTTAAAATGGGCAAAAGACTAGAATGACACTTCATCAACGATGTTTAACATCTTTAGCCGTAAGGGAAATACAATACCACAAGAAGATAGCACTATATGTCTATTATAACAGCTAGTATTTTAAAAATACAACACCAAGTACTGGTGATGATGCAGAGAAGCTAGACATTTGAAACATTACTGGTCAGAATGCAAAATGGCACATCCATTCTGGAGAATGGTTTGGCAGTTTCTTATAAACTTAAACATATATTACCATATGGCCCAGTAATCCAACTCCTCTATACACACCCTAGAGAAATGAAAATTTATGCTCAGACAATTCTGAGCATAAATAAGCTGATTCAAAAGTTCATAAAGAAAGTGTGTATAGCTTCTCTATTCATAATCACCTCCAAACTAGAGGCAATCCCAATGCCATTCAGTGGATGAATGAACAAACTTACTGTGGTTTATCCACACAATGGAGCATTACTCAGATAAAAATAAATGAACTGCTAATGCATACAATGATTTAGATGAATCTCAGAAGTATTATGCTGAATGATAGAAGTCAGCCTCAAAGATAACTGTGATTTCTTTTATATGATATTCTTGAAAAGACAAAACTATACTGATGGAGAACAGATTTGTGTTTGACAAATGTTATAGATAGGAAAGGGTGTGACTAGAATGGAATAGCAAAAGAGAGGTTTTGAGGTTGGTGGAATTATTCTGTAACCTGATTGTGGTGGTGGTCACACAAATCTGCATATTTGTTAGAAGTCATAGAAGTATATAACTTTAGATGTATGTGTGTCATACATAGAACTGTATGAGAAAAAAAGGTCAGTTTTACTGTACGATGATTTTAAAAATAAAATTAAAATATGCATATTATTAATGGATCTAGCCAGTGATCATGAAATAATGATTTTTTTTTATTTTTAGAAGTTCTATTGTATTTTTACTGAGCACTGTTGAAAGACACATCTAACACTTGTGAACCAGGTTTCCTCATCTATACAATGGGGATTCATTAAACGAGCTAATGCCCACAGTGTTTATAGAGGGATAGTCACAGAGCTAGTACCCAACAGTTGGTAATGACTGTTTTTCACCTCCCCTGGATGCCAGGTGCTGGAACCAGTTCAAAGAGCCAGTGTTGGCTAACTGGCCTTCCCAGTGCCTATTTCTCAGACTGAGGGCAGGGTTTAGTCAAAGTTGGATCTAAAATAAAAAGCATATTTCCTCCCTCCCCATAAACAATATGTAAAAGAGTTCCTTTTCTTCAGTTCTATTGAGCAAGCTGTTTGCTTTCTCCAAGTCTTAGTTTATTCACCTGTACAACGGGGTAAATTAAGACTCAACAAAATAAAAGAGACAGAGTACCAGACATCCAGGAAGCCTCCAATAAATCCTGGTGGACCCTGTGTTTGCTCACTTCAGCCCCCTCCTTAGAGCTCCTGAGATCATCAGGGGAGCCTCAAGACCTGCCTGCCAAGGCAGAAGCCATGGCCTACCCTGGTCCAGCTCAGAGGACTGGTCTGGAACTTGCCCCACAAGTTCCTGGTTCATACCTTCAGCAGCTGAGCACTCAGCTCCTGAAGGACGCTCCTGTGCCCAGAGAGATGCATGCTCTCTGCCCCCCCGTTCTCTTGCCCACCCCTCGCTTGTTCCAGGAAAGTTGTACAGCTCATCAGAATCAGAGCTTTCCCTTTCTGAATTTTATCGCTGGGGCTCTGGGGCCTTCTGCAAGTATAACTCTAGTGCTTTGGGTAATTTAAACATGCTGCGCTGCTTAACCTTTTCTTTTCTGCTGAGCACCTACAGATTTCTTATGAGCCAAAGAGAAGTTAAGTGACCTATAACCGCAAATCTGTGTAGCCTCAGTATCTGGTGCAGGAGAGGGACATTTGTAAATCGAAGGGCGTGTAGCTATCATCTTTTCCTGCAACGTGTGGTGGATCAGATGCCAATTCCCTTAAATGCCAAGCCTTCATTTCTGCTATGGGCTTTGTCAATCCCAGAACTCACAAACAGAAATCACACGCCCCAAAACAAACAAAATACTCAGTCTACAAGGAAGAGAAGTAGCTGATTTTTCTTCCCAATACATACAACTCTCACCCAATCTAGGACCTTTAAGAAAAAATAATAATAAAATATTTTCAGCCGGGCACAGTGGCTCACGCCTGTAATCCCAGCACTTTGGGAGGCCGAGATGGGCAGATCACGAGGTCAGGAGATCGAGACCATCCTGGCTAACACGGTGAAACCCCGTCTCTACAAAAAAATACAAAAATTAGCTGGGCGTGGTGGGGGGGCGCCTGTAGTCCCAGCTACTTGGGAGGCTGAGGCAGGAGAATGGCGTGAACCCAGGAGGCGGAGCTTGCAGTGAGCCCACATCGCACCACTGCACTCCAGCCTGGGTGACCCAGCGAGACTCCGTCTCAAAAAAAAAAAAAAAAAAAAAAAAAAAAATTCTCTTCCTGACCCAAGTTGTATGGGTTTTCTGGCAAACAGGAGGCAATCAGATTTCAAATAATGCAAGTGGTTGAAAAATGATGGTGGGTGTGCATATGTCCGTGTGTGCTTCTCGTCAGAGACAGCCGGCAGCCACAGAGGTACTTTCCGCAGGGAGCTCTTCAGGAACCGTTAAAACCAGGATGCCTGGGTTTTCTTTATGAGCCCACTGGCCGTACTTAGATATGTAGATATGTATAGTTACAGTTGTCCTTCACAGCTGAAGACATGGCTGCTGACAATGTTATTTCCCGTGCAGATAAATTAAAATATTGGTGATAATGTTGCCCTTTGGTGGCAGATCCTAGAGGTCCCTCCAGCTTCACAGCTTGAGCAAGGCTGGGCCTACAGATGGGCCCTTGCATATTCTTCCAGCTCATAGCCCCTCTGGAGAGCATTTTCTTCCCTAAAGCCTGCCTGCTTCCTCAGGCCACAGTAGGGCCTTGGTGTTTGCTTTTCCACCCACAGAAAAAGAAATAAAACCAAATGTTTAAGTTACAGGTAAATCAGGACCCCTTTACAATTGGGCATTTATCTTCTGCCAAATGCTTTCTCCCAGCAGTGCCTGCTGTTTACACAGAGAGAAGTAGGAGGATGAGTGAAAGTGGTTTGATTTGAAACATTTTTCATTCTCCCCTCCCCCTACCCTTTTTGCATTTTTTAATGTTCTCCCCTTGCTTTCTCCCTTTCATGTTCTCTCTCTCCTTTAATGTTCTCTCTCTCCTTTCTCCCTTTTCTTATGTGATGTCACCCACCTAATCCTCCCTCCTCCACTCATGTATGTGGGTCCTGGTCCTTTTGCTTCTTCTGCAGCTTTGTCCCCATCCACAGCCCATACTGTTACATGGAATACTTTTTTATATATACATACTTTAAGTTCTGAGTTACAAGTGCAGAACGTGCAGTTTTGTTACATAGGTATACACATGCCATGGTGGTTTGCTGCACCCATCAACCTGTCACCTAATTAAGTATTTCTCCTAATGTTATCCCTCCCCTAGCACCCCACCTCCCCTCAGGCCCCAGTGTGTGATGTTCCCCTCCCTGTGTCTATGTGTTGTCATTCAACTCCCACTTATGAGTGACAACATGTGGTGTTTGGTTTCTGATCTTGTGATAGTTTGCTGAGAATGATGGTTTCCAGCTTCATACATGGAATACTTTCTAAGAAATGAAAACCTGAGTGTATCACTCTCCTGGTACATGGCGGGCCTCACCAGCTTCCCCCTAAGCCTCATCAGAGGATCTAACAATTGGATCCCACTTCCTCCTACAGACTCAACTCCCCAATGCTCCACTTGACACTCTGTGCTTCAGTAATACTACCTTTCCTGCCATGGACTTCCCAGTACCACTCTGTGCACTGCTGTGTGCTGTGCCCTCAGCCTGATACTGCCATCTGCCTCAAAAGGCTTTGTTACTTACTCGCTATGAAATACTGAGCAAATTACTCAAGGTACTCTTTTGCCTGGATTACTATTACTTGCCTTTTAAGTTCAAATTCGAGTGAGACTTGTCTGAACTCATTCCTTCCCCTTAATCTGGATTGGGGCTTTTTTTTATTTCTTCACTAAAGCAGAGGTCAATGAACTGTGGCCTGTAGGCCAAATTGGGCTGCCATCTGTTTCTATAAATAACGTTTTATTGAAACATAGACACACTCATTTGTTTGCCTTCTGTCTAGCTGCTTCATGCTGTAACAGCAAAGTTTAGTTGTAACTGAGACCATATGTCTGGCAATCCCTAAAGTATTTCCTCTCTGACCCTTTGCAGACAAAATGTGCCCATTCCCATTCTAAAGCACCATATCACAGCACACACTACATTATATGGAATCACTTTCTTTACATATCCATCCCTACACTAGAATATACCTTCTTGAATTGAAAATCTCAGCCTACTCGTTTCTTAGCAAAACATGGTGGTTAATAGTCTGAGTCTGAAGTCAGACTGTTAGAGTTAGTATTCTGGCTTTGTTAATTACTCATTATGTGATACTGAGCAAGTTACTCAACCTTTCCTTTCCTATTTCTTAATTAAATGCAGATAGCAGTGATACCCACTTCATATGCTTATTACAAGTATTAGTTAGATGTAAATTTCTTATTACAGTGCCTAATACTCAGAATGTACTATATAACTGTTGACCATTAATATTAATATTAATATCACCAGGCCCTAGCAGATGGTAGGTACTCAATGGATATGTTTGACATTGAACCATTCTTTCTTGATTTATGCCTTTAGAAAATCAGCAAATTAGAAAACCATCTAGGGTCACACTCGAACTCTCAACCTGAAGACTATGTTATCATTGGTTGCTGCTCTCTTCCTCTGTTCTTTATCTTTTTCTCTCACCTTCAATGGCAATCAATTATCAAATCCTTTCAACACTAATTCCAACACATATGCCAAATCATGTTACATCCCTCCATAGTCACTATTTCTGTAATCCAAGTTATCATCATCTTAGGCCTGGACAATCTCAGCAGCCTATGTCAGCAAGCTTTTGCTGTGTAACAAACCACCCAAAACTTATTGGTTTAGAACAAAACCAATTATGTAGCTCACAATTTTGTGGGTCAATAATTAGGGCTGGGCTCAGCTGGGTTGTTCTTCTGGTCTCTGCTGGGCTCACTCTTGTGGCTTCTGGGTAAGGCTGGGGCTGGGTGGTCTTAGATGGCCTCTGCCGAGATATCTCCTCTCTGCTCCACCTGGTTTCCCTTGCTCTAGCAGGTCAGCCCTGGCTTGTACACATGATGGTTGAGTCAGTTCCAAGAACGCATGCAAGGTCTCTTGAGTTCTACACTTGAGTATACTGTGACTTCTGCCCCATTCCATTGAAGAAAGAAAGTAACAAGGCAAGTACAAATTCAAGCCATGGAGAAACAGACTCTATCCTTTGACAAGAATGGCTGAAAAGTCACTCTGTAAGTGACATGGAGACTGGAAGAAGAATAATCATGCCCTTTTGTGCAAATTATTGACCACAGCCTCCTCACTGGTCTCCCTGTTGTACCTTTACTGTTGCTCCACTCCAGGATCTGCACAAGAAACAGAGTGATCTTTTAAAAATATAAATAGATTAGATTACCCCTCTACCTAAAACCCTCCACGGCTTCCCATTGCTTTCAGAATAAGACACAGATTCCCTAGTGTGACCTTGCAAGGTGCACTCTCTGTCTTCTCTCCATTCATTCTGCTTGTTCACTCTGTTCATCCTCCCCGCGCTTCCTCTGCTCCTCCAGTAGGTCCACCTTGCCCAGGCTTTGGGTCTAATGCCTGACTTTTCTGACTGCCTTGGTGGGGGAGATGGTGGTGACTTCCTTCACACCTGCCTGGCTGCCTCCTTCTTGTCTTTTGGGTTTTGACTTAAACTCAAGTCAGAGATGACCACCCAACTTAAAGCCCCATCACCTTGCTTCATTTTCTTTATAGCATTATTATATTCTCTTATGTGTCCTTGCACATCTGTTCAGTCTTTCTCTTTCCCCACTTAAAATGGAAGCACCATGAGAATAAGGACCTCCTCTGTCTTGTTCATTGTCTCAGGGTCTAAAATGCTTCCCAATTCATAGTAAGTGCTCAATAAAGATTTGTATAAAGGGTGAATTTACTGAGTCATACCATATGCCAGGCTCCAAGTTAAGCACTTTATTCTCATTATCTCATGTAATCTATGCAGGAACCATGCAAGGTAAACATTTTCATCCCAATTTTACAGTTGGAGAAATCAAAACTCAGAGAAGTTGATGTTCTTTTTGAACGTAAGTCATTATTAGCAGTGACTATTCATTCTTCTCTGTTGCTTTACACTTCTTGTGGTGTCTTTTTCTGTGTTATTTATTTGTTCTGTTCCATTTTGTGCCTTAGTGCACAAAATTGGGTTAAACCTAACATTTGGTGCACTTTGCTATTTATTTGGGGTGTTCACATGCCTATTACTATAAAAAGTTAGACTCACAAAAATAGTGATATTGTCTATATACTATTGACTCAATATCTTCTGCCACCTCCAGTCTCTAGGTTGAGGCTATCTGTGATATTTTGTCATATGACATGTACTGGTGGGATAAGGTGGATCTTAGGAAACCTCTGACTCTTAGAAAGGTAAGACTCACTGGAGATCATATCATCCGTCTCCTTCACACCACAAATGGAGAAGCAGAAGGCAAGAAATGGGCAATAATGTACCCAAAGCTACCCAGTGACTTCTGCCACTTACCAGCAGATTACACCAAAAACCAGGTCTTTTATGGAAGGTGAGTCTTGCCATTCTTTCATTTTACTTTCCAAAGCAAGCAGAGGCAACCAGAGAACCAATGGCCAATACTGAGGTACTCTAAGCAGTCTCCTTTTTCCTCTTCCTCCACCCAGCAGAAATTATCTGTTTCCTTGAAATTCCTTCTGACGACAAATAGCAGGCACCTCTATGTCACCAAAGTATTTTAAAGCTAGTGGGTCCAAGTTGACTTTCCATCCAATAGAGAGTACCACCATTGCATGTTAAATGCATTCAACAAAACCATCTCTTATGGACCCTAAGTGTGGCCTTGTGGTTCCTTGCCAGGCATCCATGGTGCCCACATCTCTTGGATCCAACCCTCTCTCTCCACCCTACTATCACCATCCTTATTGTGATGCCACCATCTTAAATCTGGACTCAATGGTCACTCCTCACCCACTTAGCTCCCCTTTCGACTCCCACTCCCCACAAGCAGGCAGAGCATCTCTCTCTTGCCTCTGTTTACAGCCTTCCAGTGGCTTTCTACTCTGAGAATAAAAGTACAATGTCTTGGTGTGGCCCTGAAACCCCAAGAGGGCTGGTACCTCTCTGCATTGCAGTCACACTTCTCACCACCTTCCCCTTCACTCTGCTCTCAGGCCACTGGAACCTGTCTTCAATCTTCACTTCTGCTGCTTCCCCCTGACTCAGGCCTCTACCCTTGCTGTAGCTTCTATGTGGAATCACCATCTTGACCACCAAACCTTCCCCTGGCTCCCGTCACCTAAAAATCTCCTGTCCACCTGCTGCCTTCAGCATGTATCACTGACTCCAGGACATCTCCCTTGAATCTCTGACTGGGTCAGTCTCCCTAGTACAACTGTTCATTATGTGATATGTAGAGCATTTTCTGTGGGGATGTATTTATGTGATGATGATTATTGGCATTGTGTCTGTCTCCTCCTTCAGGTTGTAAGCAGTGTGAAGGAAGTGACCGTGGATCATTTGCTTCTCACTCTTCTTCTAGAGCCTGACACTCTGCCTGGTGCACATGAGAAGTTTAATAAGTATTTACTGAATGAATAAATAAATGGCACTCTTGCTTGGGGTTTTCCAATTACTGTAACCCATTGTTTGGCATGAATGACAGATTCCTAGGCCAATCAGAGTGAGGAGAATGGATAGGTGAGGTCCCAGGAGAGAGACAGTAACTCTCGGTGGTTACATCAAATGTCCAGGGTTGCTTACTCTCTGTGTTATTACTGAGCTTGGGTTTCAATATCTGTAAAAGAGGGATAATAATAGCAACCACATTAATAATAGTCATAATAATACTCAGTAAGACACTGGGAGAACTACATGATTCTGTGTCTGGCAGATAGCAAGTGCTCCAAAGTGCTAGCCATTGTGGTTATTATGAGAATGTATCAAGATAGCCGTAGCAAAGGATCATTTTTCTAAATAAGCAGAGAGGACTATGGAAACCTTTTCTCTAAATACTGGTAAAATCCTCCTAAAGTTCAGAGTAAATGACAGCCATGCACTTATGTCACCTTGGAATCCTGACTCCATGCTTACTCAGGATTCCACCTTCCTTGTGGTCTCACTCTCCTTGCCCTTGTCTCTGCCCCTCTCCCGGCCACATTCCCCCTCTTCCAGCCAGGTTCCCCACCTCTCAGGTACTTGCTTAGCAACTGAATCTGTCTAGCTAATGAGGGTGGGAGACGAGCCTTCAGAATCATTCCACAGAGTCTCATCTTCCCCATTCTCCTTCTTCCTCACTGCCCACGCCTCTACCAATTAGGCACATCCTTTCCTGAAGGCTCTCAACTCCCCAGGAGTAGGACAGAAATAGCCCCCTTGCTTCAAAATCTGGAGCAGCATTTCCACCTCCACCAAAGACACACAGCTACACTCCTGTTCATTTTCCCTCCTTCCTTTTCACCAGCCTGCACCATTTCACCTCGACATCATTCATTCCTTACTGCTGCTTTGAACTTCGGAATTCTACATCAATGTGGAAAAGGCATGTGGGTAACAAGTGACTTCTCAAGGGACTTCAGTTTGCTCATCTGCAACACAGGCTGCTAGAAAAACTGAATTGGCTCTTCACACTGTATTCATGAGAAAGAAATAAGATAATGTGGCTTTTGTTTGTTTGTTTGTTTGTTTGTTTGTTTGTTTTGAGATGGAGTCTCGCTCTGTCGCCCAGGCTGGAGTGCAGTGGCACAATCTCAGCTCACTGCAAGCTCTGCCTCCCGGGTTCATGCCATTCTCCTGCCTCAGCCTCCCAAGTAGCTGGGACTGAAGGCGCTTGCCACCACGCCTGGCTAATTTTTTTGTATTTTTTTGTAGAGAGGGGTTTTCACTGTGTTAACCAGGATGGTCTCAATCTCCTGACCTTGTGATCCAGCCACCTTGGCCTCCCAAAGTGCTGGGATTACAGGCATGAGCCACCACGCCCAGCCAGAAATAAGATAATGTTTGGCACATAGTAGATGTTCAGAAAACGTTGACTCCTATTGCTCTTACTTTGTGCTTATTTTCTAAATCATAATTTACTAATTATGCCTGACAAAGAAACAAACTATTTGAAATCAGGGCTCATCTGCAGGATCTGTCCAGACATCAGCCACCTATGGTTCTGGCAGGAAAGAGGATGTGGAGTGGCATCCATCCCATGACACAGTGCTGAACCAATCTCCCTACCTCCTCCCCTTTCACCCAGCCTTAGGAAAATCCTGTGATGAGATTACAATCTTCCCAAGGACAGGAACCTTATCATGCTCAACTTTGTACCTGGCCCAGTGCCTGACAGGTACCCAGCACTCCAAAGAATATTTTCGCAAGACCAGCCCAAGGCTGACTGGTACCTCCGCAGTTCGCTAGAATAGATCATGACCCTCATTTCAGACTTTGCAACTAGGCTGTGTGGTTATCACCCAGGACAGAGACGAATTCCTTGGGTCTTTGCTGCATCCTTGGTGAGGAATAACAAGGAACATCTGACAGAACATTTACAGTCTGTGGTATAGAAGCCTACTAATATTAACTACATAACACATGCCATAGCCTCCTCATTACAGGATAGGCATTCAGTCGTTCCCAATATGCCCTTTTATTTTGTTTTATTAAAATCTGACTTTTAAAAGGCCACCTCTGGGTGAATTTCTAAATAGGCATCTCAACAGGGTGGAACCAACCACCTAGAGGCAAGATTTTGGTAGCACGAATGGGCCACATCAGTCATCAGAATACTACCTTAATCAAGTTCAGCATTTACTGCATGTTAGACTTAACCAAGATTCATGCTTCCAGCAAACATTAAAATGGTGAATTTAATAAACCAGACCTTCTCCTTCTCACTAACATAATCCATTCCTTGCTCCCTGCCTCTGCCACTATCTTGCCAGCCTCCACACACTGTTTAGTAATTTGCCAACTGCACATAGAAACTGACCAGCTAAAAAGTTTCATTTGCAGCAGAGATACTTTCCTTTGGTATTTAGTTCTGCCGCCCACCCTCCATACACACCTACCTCTTACCTTCTGAAGTTCACGAGGCTTTCAAAGCGCCCATTTCCACATGCATCTGTTATTTACCAAAGCAAATCAGAGTACTTCACAGCCACAAATTGAAGAAACCATGTTGGGCTCCTCAAAATTCCCATTAATGGGCACCAAAAAGAAGTTCGTTAAAACAATGTAATATCCTTAATGCAACTAATGTGCTTCCTCCTGTTCTAACAAGCTCATGAATAATAGATGAAGGGAGCTTCATCTGTCTTAATTAATTTGGTCTTGAAATTAATTCAATTCAATACAAAATTAGCAAGCAATTAAGTCTCATTGGCCCAAATGGACAAAAATATGCCAATACGTCACTGGCTAGAGAAGCAAACTAGAAATGGACAAGAACCATAGTCCATTCTCCCAAACCAGAACTTCCAATAGGAGCATCACCAATCCCCATGAGGCCATAACTTGGTCCCTTCTCCAGATCTCATAATTAAATTTCTGCTTAATCACTAGGAATGTCAGCATTTATATGTTGGGAAATCCTTGAGGGAGGTTCCAAATGCATAGCAAGATTGCTTTTGTTTTTGTTCTACTTTGTTTCTGAAACTTGCAAATAATTTGAGAATTTGCTACGTATTAAGGCATAGAATCCAACAGCAATTATCAGCTGCAATACATGGGCACTTGCAATGAACACTTTGGTCTAAGAAATTATCACAGTTTGCTATGTACATGAGTTTAGCAAATTCTTGGTTCCATTATCTACTTGGCAATTACATATAGTGTTATAATAATAGTTTATCTTAAAGTAGGGCACTTCTTCTTCAGATCTTGGCGTGCTTAATGAGCACTTTTTTCTTAACCCTCACAATGCCCTTTAGAATTGGTAAGATATAAATATCATTAAAATTACTTTCAAAACAAAGATACTAGGGTTCCAAGACAGGGATGGACAATCACAGCATTCTAAGAGCTTCAAAAGACATTAACTCCAACCATCTATCCTGTGCTTGAATTCTACTTGCCTTTCTTGAACACCTCCAGCAATGGGGAACTCATTTACACATGAAGCTACCCATTCCATCTCTAGAGAATATGATTGTTAAATTGATCTGGAATTTATCTTCAGTAGATAATGACTTTTTAAACACCAAACAAGTCTGATTCCTCCTACACATGGCATCTACTCTCCATGTTTAGCCACCTTCTTCACATCAACTTCTCCTTATGATATGGCTCTGAACCCTTCAATATTTTGATCATTCTCCTGGGAATCAACTTCAAGGGACAATGCAATGTAGTAGTGGGAAGCATCAGTTCGGAAGTCAGGCAAACCTGGAGTTGAGTTGTGGGAGTATAATTTCAAGGCTGTCTGTGAACGGGCTACATGCTTAGGCCTTTGAACCTCAACATCCTCATCTATAGAATATGGTTAAAATCTCCACTTTGTAAGATTATTGTGATGATTGATGGACCTAATATATAAAGAATATTTATTATAGAGTCCAGCACAATTGAGTTTTCGGTAAATGGTAACCAAATAATAATTTTAGCTAATTTCTACATAGCTCATACTAAGCACTTTATACATTAACTCATTGCCACTTCACAGCAAGCCATGACATTGTTGTTATTCCTATTTTATAGATGAGGCAACTGATGTACAGGGAAGTTAAGGAACTTGCCCAAGGTTGCACAGCCACTAGGAAACAGAACTGGGACATGAACCTAGACAGTCTAGCTCCAGAGTCTGTATTTGGCAGCCATGTATCTTAAACTGTGGTCCCTAAAATAGAATGCTTTTCAGGTGTTGTCAGATCTAAGCTGATATGGTTTGGCTGTGTCCCCACACAAATCTCATCTTGAATTGTAGTTCCCATAATCCTCACGTGTAATAACAGGGACCCGGTGGAGGTAATTGGATCATGGGGGTGGTTACTCACATGCTGCTGTTCTCACGATAGTGAGTTCTCACAAGATCTGATAGCTTTATAAGGGGCGTTTCCCCCTTTTGCTCAGCATTTCTCCTTGCTGCCACTATGTGAAGAAGGATGTGTCTGCTTCCCCTTCCATCATGATTGTAAGTTTCCTGAGACCTCCCCAGCCCTGTGGAACTCTGAGTCAATTAAACCTCTTTCCTTTATAAATTACCCAGTCTCAGGTAGGTCTTTATTAGCAGGGGGAGAACAAACTAATAGGCAAACTGAAGAGCAGATCAGGACCCTGGCCTTCTCCCAATGGTGAGCAAAATTATCCTAGTTTTCCTCATGTGGGCTTTCATCTATTTAGGTGCTCCTCCCTCTGTGATGTTTTCACTGTGATGGGTTGCTGAGCGTTGACTCCCCAATCCTTTGTTTATTCAGCTGCTTTGTAAATCCAAGCATAAAACTTAACAATTAGCCTTTTTAAATGCCTTCTTGTTAAATTTGATGAGAATTCTAAGCTGCTGACATCTTCTGGGATCTTGACTGTCTCACTCAACACATTTTCTTCACTCCCAAATCCGGGTCTTTCACACATTTGATGAAAGTGCCTCCCCTATCCTCATCCCAGGCACTGATGAAAATACTGGGTCAGACAGGGCACCATGACATTAGAGTCCTCTCTCCAAGACGGAATTGATCTATTAGTCAGCACCCTCTGGGTAGGGCTTAGTCCTGTACAAAAATAGAACATGAGTCACCTTCCCTTTAAGATCGTGGCTTAAATGGGAAGGAAAGTAAATTGGTAATCTCCAAGAACATTTCCAAGTCTAACACTTCAGAAAAATACTAGTGTGTACTAGGTTCTCCATGGTCTGGACTTTGTGTCCCTCAGAAGTCGTAAATCCCACCATTCTCAGTTCACATGTAACTCGCCAGCCAGCCACAAAACTTACACAGTCCCTTAATCACAATCTCTGCTCCTTCCCACCACCATGATTGTGTCCCTGCTGCTGCTTCTGCCCTCATCTGTCTAGTTGATGACATTCTAGTTATTCTTCAAAACCAGCTCAGATCAACAAATGGTTCTGGAACAACTGACCATCCATATGCAAAAGGAGAACTTTGATCCATACCTTACACCATATGAAAAGATGAAATCAGAATGAATCACAACCCTAAATGTGAAATATATAAATTCTAGAAGAAAATATAGACAAAACATCTTTGTGACCTTGGGTTAAGGAAAGCTTTCTTAGCTACAACACCAAAAGCATGATCCATTTTAAAAATTGATCAATTAAACTTTATCAAAATTAGTAATATTTATTTTCAAAAGACACTCTTAGGAGAATGAAAAGACAAGCTACAGACTGGGAGAATATATTTTAAACTGACATAACACCATGATGGGCAAATCCACGGAGAACAAAAGTAAATTAGTGGCTGCCAGAGGTTAAGGGGAAGGGAGAATGGGGAGTAACTTTTAGCAAACATGGAGTTTTTTGCTGGGGGATGATGAAAATGTTCTGGAATTTGTGGTGATGGCTGCACACATTCTGAAATGCTAAAACCAATTAATAGTACATTTTTAAATAGTAAAGTTTATGTTGTATGAATTATATCTCAATTTTTAAGGAGACTTAGATCATCTTCTGCTGTTTAAACTTATCAATGGCTTCCTGTGGCACTCATACAAAAATCTAATCTCCTTACCTTACAAGGCTCTATTTTTTTTTCCAAAAAAAGGACAGATAAACTCTTGAGTCCCACTCTCAAGCCAGTTTCTCTCATATTCATTAAATATATATATGTTCCTCTATGTATTATGCATTGTTCTAGGCACTTGGGATTGAATAAAACAGATGAAGAACTCAGCCCCTGTAAGTTTACATTCTAATAGAGAGAACATACATTCTCAGGAAATGGCAAACACTGGACTCATACATGACTGGTCTCTTTCTCTCAGACCCCATCAGTATGCCTTGTCAATTTAACCTTCAAAATATATCCGGAATTTAATCACTGCTTACCAGCTTCACTGCAATGGCCTTGGTCTAAGCCACCATCTTTCTCTCCTGGATTATCACAGGACCTTTCTAAATGCTCACTCCGCTTCTATCTTCCCAGCTTTCAGAGTTTTCTACAAATATCACCCACAATTATCCTTTTAAAGCATAAGTTAGATCATGTTGCATCTCTTCCCACAACCCCCCCAATGGCTCCCTTTCTCACTCAAAGAGAAAGAACCTTATCATAATGCCTGTTGAGGCCCAGTCTGATCCCTAGCTCCCTTCCACAACCTCTCCCCACCTCACTCCCTCTGCTTCACCTGTGCTGGACTTCTTGCTGTGTATCAAGTAGACCAGGCAAGGATTCTGCCTCAAGACATTTGCACTTGATGCCCCTGTGCCTGAAATTCTTTTCTCCTGGATATCCACACGATTTGCAACTTCCTTTCTTTCAGGTCTTTGTCCAAATGTTACTTTATCACTGTGACCTCCCCTGGCCATTCTATATAAACTGGGAATTTATCTGCCCAATCTCTCAGGGGTTCTCTCTATCCTCTGACAGATTGTGTTTTTCTCCACAGTATTTGTCTCTACCTGACAAAATATTGATTGGTTAATTGATGCTCTTGGAGGGCAGATATCTGTCTGTTTTTCATAGCTATATTCCTGGTGCCTAAAATAGTCCTAGCATATGACAGCATTTTACAAATACATGTTAAATAAATGAATGAATTGTTTTGGGATGACAGGATATTTCTTTCTGCCTCTAGGGACTCACAGACACCAGAGCTGGGTTACAGGTATTCAAGTAACCCAGCGTGTACCACCATCAAAATAACACCTGCCATTTATTGAGGTGTTCCTTCACTGGCCTTCATTCATCATGTCTTGCATAAAAATACCAAAGAAGCTCAGAAAATCAAAGGCAGAGTCAAAGGGTCTCAGAGGCTGGAACTGGGTGGCTGTTTAAATTCCAACTCTGGTACTCGCCAGTTCTGTTGCCTCAAGTGAGCCCCTGAGTCACAGTTTCCTCATCCATAAAGCAGGTATAATATGTGCACATTTTGGAGTTGTTATGAAGATTGGAGATAATGCTTTCTTTTTTGTTTTTTGTTTTGTTTTGTTTTTTGAGACAAAACCTTGCTTTGTCACTCAGACTGGAGTGCAGTGGTGAAAGCTCGGCTCACTGCAACCTCCGCCTCCTGTGTTCCAGCGATTCTCATGCCTCAGCCTCTGGAGTAGCTGGAATTACAGGCGCCCGCCACCACGCCCAGCTAATTTTTGTATTTTTAGTAGAGATGGGTCTTGCCATGTTGGTCAGACTGGTGTGGACCTCCTGACCTCAAGTGATCTGCCCACTTTGGCCTCCCAAAGTGCTCGGATTACAGGTGTGAGCCACCACGCCCGGCCTGGAGATGATGCTTTCTGAGCACTAAGCACAGTGCTTAGTATCATGGCAGCCATGATTAAGAGGAGCTCAATGAGGAGGTGACTGTGGAGAGTGCACATCAGGTTGATGGAATCACCAGGATGGAGCATCCTCCACAGCATAAACCTAGTAACAGGAATGGCAAGTTGCAGATGCAGCAGGGAGACCCAGACAGGACCCAAGATGGAGACAGGGCTTAAAAGATTTGGTATCTGTTCCAGGCACTCAGCTCCTGTGTGCAGAAGTAAGAGGGCCCAGAATGAGGCTAAATATAATACATTTAAGATCCAAGGACCTACTATACAGCCAGAAACAGATGATGTCTAACACATGTGAATGAATGTATTGGCATTTGGAAGACAAACTCAGACACCAGATTCCTATCAATATACATTTATAGACACATAGATATAGACATAGAAATAGGTATAAATATAGATAGGTATGTTGTCTTTCATTCTTCTGTGGAAAGTGTATAGCCAAAAACAAAAAGGACCTTTTCACCAGGACTTCCAAAATGGTCTTTCTTGGAGTGAAATGACTGAAAATCCAGCCCAGGTTTTCATCAAGCCTTCCAGCCCTAGGAAGTAGAATCAGTGAGGTGGTGGCTTCCAGGGAGAATGGATGTTTTCAATAAAGGGGCAAGCTCTTTCCTTTTGTGGGAAGTTAAAATATATTCATTATCAGCTTTGAAGTTCACACAGAGTCAGCAAAGATAGTATTTATAAGCAAGGAAAGTTTATCAGAGACTAGAAACTCTGCTTTTCCTAATGATTGAGTAGCAAACAATGGTATGAGTTTATCTGTAGGGCTTCACAAAGAAAGTTGAACTCCACTTCTCTATTTCCATTTCTAGAGAAAGCCTGGCATTATTGTCCTTCCATGGGGGAGATTTTTCCTAAGTAAAATATTTCCTAAGTAAAAGCTCTACTTCTTGTTACAGGCCCACAATAAAATAATAATAATAAAGAAATACTTTTCCTCTTTCCAGTGTCCTCCCCCCATTCACTATCAACCACTCCCTACCATAAGTACACACACATACCCTCCAGAATGCCTAAAATTTCATCATTAGGAATTCAGCTTTTTGTGCCAGGCTTGTTTTTCTTCCAGCTATCACCATATAAAATGCAAATAATCTAGAAGTGGAAATAATACTGGAGTTTACATTTAGTTAGCAACTTGGTGTTTACAAAATGCTTTCACTTTCATTATGTCTTTGAAGTTGAACATAGTCTTGAGCTCAGCATACCCAGAACCAGCAAATGACAAAGATTCAATGTTCAGGGAATATCTCTTGAGTGCATAATTGAAATGAATGAATGAACTGACACTATGACATTTGTAAAATGAGAATTACTGTCTCCATTGAAACAAAAAGTCAAAAAGGTAAGTGAATTGCCCACAGTCACAAACAAGTAAGTGGTAAACCTGCAGTTTGAACATCTGGTTGCAAAACTAGGGAAGCGAAAGCTACCATCTTTCCTTTGGACAAAAGTGTCTGAAGCCACGTGAGAGTTAGCTGAGTACAGCAGGATTGGAATGGAATAGGACATTGGGTGAGGAGAGGTGGGCAATGCTGAGCTTGGAGCTGAAAGACCTGGGCTAATCATGCAATCTTGAACTTAACCCTTCCCTTAGCTTTGTTTTCCTAATTTGCAAACTGGAGATAATAAGATATTAATGTGCAAGGTTGTAATGAAGATCTAAATAAATACCAACTACAAGAGGACTTTGCAAACCTGTAAAGAGCATGCAGATGCTAATAAATACAGAGTTAGGAGGCGATCAAACCCTGAGCAGCCCGTAACTTAGCTTAGTTACTTACCTTTAACTCACTAAAAATAAATCTTAATAGATCTCTATAGAAGTAAAAGAGAACCACTTTTCCTCTTTTTATATTCCTACTTCCCAACCCCACTCTCCTTTCATAAGACGGACGACTCTTGCGTGTATTTGTATGTCTGGTTTGGGGTGATTCTTTCTGACACCGTTTTATCCACTATTTTGCTTTCTTGCAACTCAATGTGTTCCTTGCAACTTTTTCAGTTTATTACTTCAAACTTAATTTTTACTGAAAATTAATTAGAAAAAGCAAATATTACAAAATAAGCTACATGAATGAGAAAGCAATTCATGTTTACTACAAACAGATAATTACAAAAGACCTGATGACTGCATACCTCAGACCACACCATGGCCTGGTCATTGGACTCTGTTCCAGGACTAGCCCTGTTCTTGGGTTTATGATAAGACATCCACTTCTAGCCTATGCCACTGAACCCTCCTGCCTCCCAGAAATTCTTATTTCTAGGGCAAAAGACCTTGCACAGCTTCTTTTGTTTAGAGCTAGCAGAGAAATTTAATTTATATTTTCCTAAGACATCAAGATTTGCCTCCAGTGCCTCACATTGCCCTGTGGAAGCCCCAGTGACCTTTCTTCCCCAGAAAGCCCAGTGCTGGCCGTCCCCTTTGCCCAGCTCTCTAGACTGCAGACATATCAATTCAGTTAGACTCAGAGAACTCTGACTCTCAGGAACTTGAAGAGGCAGCTCCTTCAGGTGACTAGGAAGCTTGCGTACAGAGACAGGGTGGCTTGGCCAAAGTCACACACATAGAATCATACCACCTGTGTGAGGTGAAAGACCATCTAATCCCATCAGCATCCTCTCCATGAGTGTCCTGAGTCTGCAGGATTCCTGACAAGCATCACTCATCCATCCAGCCTCTCCTTGAACACCTCCAGCAGTGAAGAAATGAAGAACTTAGCACCTCCCAAAGCAACCCATTTTATGTTTGTTTATCTCTGACTCCTGGGAAGTTATTATACTAAGCTGCGAGAGCTGCAATCTCTCTCTCTGTCTCTCTTTCCATCTCTTTCTCTTCCTCCTTCTCTCTCTCTTTCCCTCCCTTTGTCTCTCCTTTCATCCCATCCCTCCCTCTCCCCCAGTTTTACTTATTTACTCTGGCCCTCCCTGTTGAGGCCATACAGGATTGGTCATCTCCAACAGTAGAGCTAGAATTAAAACCAGATCTCCTGACCTGCATTTCCTATTCATCCCACCACACTGTATAACCTCCCTCACCCTACAATACACACATGACAAGGAAAGGTAAAGGATTTCCAACAATATCTTTAGCAGCATATTATTTCCCTATTTGTATTATGAATATAATATTTAATCCACCACTCATTCATTCATTGGATTTATTGAATATTTTCTTTGTACCAGGCGTGGAGCACCAAGCATTAAAGAACATAAGGCCCTTGAGATCAAGAAGGTGGAAAACTCTAACTAAAATGCAGTGTAATAAGGGCTACACTAAGGATCCCTGCAAAGTGCTATGTGAGCACAGAGGAGAATGTTGCTAATTGGCTGAGACTAATTTCATCAAAAATGTCTTATTTATTCTTATATCTCCAATGCTTGTCCTGTAGTAGACACCTCAACAAATATTTGAATGAATAAATGAAGTGACACTTTACCAAGCTTTGGATTATAAGGAATTGTTCTCAACTTAGAGAAGAGAGGAATAGCTTGTACATTCTTTGTGATGCTAGGAAAGGAATTCATTTAGGACATATATTAATGTGCTAGAGCTGTGTATTAGTCTGTTCTCATGCTGCTAATAAAAACATATCTGAGACAGGGTAATTTATAAAGGAAAGAGGTTTAATGGAATCACAGTTCTACATGGCTGAGGAGGGCTCACAATCATGGCAGAAGGTGAAGGAGGAACAAAGTCACGTCTCACATGGTGGCAGGCAAAGGGAGCATGTACAGGGAAACTCCCATTTATAAAACCATCAGATCTCATGAGATGTGTTCGCTATCATGAGAACAGCATGGGAAAGACCTTTCTCCATGCTTCAATTACCTCCCACCGGATCCCTCTCATAACATGTGGGAATTATGGGAGCTACAATTCAAGATGAGATTTGCATGGGGACACAGCCAAACTATATCAGGCTACCATAACAGTGTACCACAACTGGGTAGCTTAAAACAACAAAAATTTATTTGCTCACAATTTGAGAGGCTGGAAGTCCAAAATCAAGGCGTCAGCATGGTTGGTTCCTTCTGGAGGCTCTTGTGGTCATCTGTGCCATGCCTCTTCCAGCTTCTGGTGGTTGCTGGTGGTCTTTGGTGCCCCTCAGTTTGTAGGCGTGTCACTCCAATCTCTGCCTCCAGCTTCACATGGTGTTCTCCTTCTGTGTGTGTACAAATTTCCCTCTTCTTATAAGGACACCAGTCATTAAATTAGGCCTAATACTCCAGTATGGCCCCATCTTAATTTGATTACATCTGTAAAGCCCTGTTTTCAAATAAGGCACATTCATGGGTACCAGGCATTAGGACTGACACAGTTCAACCACAATAATATATTGAATAAGATGGGAGATATAGTCACTTGATATATACTTAGTGCCAATTATGAGATGAGCACTGTTCTAGATCCAGAGAGCATGAACAAAACAGACAAGGAACTGCCTTCATGCAGCTTATGTTCTAGCTGTGGGGAGATAATTAACTTGATAATTAACTAACAAGAAAACATGAGAGAGTGCAAAGGACAAACATTGAGTGAGGTGATAAGTAGTGGCTACTTTAGATTGGGCAGTCAGGGAAGACTACTCTGGGGAGTGACATTTAAGGTGAGCTCTGAATGAGCAGCAGGATTCAGGCAGAGGGTGAGTCTCTACTTTAGGGAGTGGCTGTGGGATACCGTAGGGGCAGAGAGAAGACCAGTGTCAGAAGGTTGCTCCCCCCAGTGCATCCACTGCAGTTTCCTCTTGTTACCAAATGGTCACTCTTTTCCATAGTCTCTCTTCCAAATTTACAGGGAGCTGGTCAGATTGGCTCAGCTGATTAGAACTGCACCTACTTGGCTGAGCCTGCCAGGCCACCTCTGGGGGTGCAGGGGGGCTCTAGGAAGGGCTATACCTGATCCACCCAATGGTCATCTCTGTACTAGTCCAGTGCCTTCAGACCAGGGAGTGAGGCAAGACCAGTTTCAGTTAAAGACAGACAAGGGCACATTCAGGAACTTGGCCCACTGTACAATGCACAGACAGAGAGCACAAAAAGAAATGTGTCCCCTGTGAGAATCATTACAGCCTTTGGAGGCTGTGGCTGTGAACAACGAACAGCAATTCTGAGTTCAGCAAAAATGAATTTATTGGCATGGTATGGGACAGTTCAAGGAATCAAATGGAAAGCTGGGGAAACAGCTCTTAAAAAGAATGGGAACCAATACAGCTGGGGATCTGGGAGGCAGGAACAAGTGAACAGTCTATTTGGGCAATTGTTGTTGGAATGAATGGATGCCACCAAGTTTTCCTTGTAGTAAAATTTAAATTACAGGGAGAAAGTATGCGAATGGCCAAGCTTGAGTCTCATGCCCACCCCTTGGCTGTTGGCGGGGCACCCTGATTATACACCAAGACTAGATCAAATGGGCAAGAGAACATCTCCCACAGAAAAATCTGGATGCTCCTTCTGGATGGCCAAAACATCATGTTTATCAGGATAAACACCTGATAAACATGGTGTTTATCAGGCCGGCAAAAGCCACAGTTGTCCTCCACAATTATCAGCACATGCATTTCACCAGACTAGGTCTCTGGTCTAGGTAGAAGAGCCCATGAAGCTCTGTGGAAGTTTCTTGACTTATTAATTAGTGCCATGACTTTCTGCCTATTTATTTAAAAATGTTTAGATGTCCAGTAGTCATGCAGTCCATTTTTCTCCACAAAGGTTTATGCCAAGGTGCTGGCACGCCTCCTTCCAGTCAGACAATCTGATAAGCAAACACATTCGCATTTAAAAGGCAGGTCTGTGAATGGTCTTTTTTCCCCAAGAAGTAATTCATATTAGACGCCTGGTGAAGGCTGGGGAAAATATAACATGCCCTGGTGCTGAATAAGTTGGAACTTCAATGCTGTCAGCAGGTTCTGGATGTGAGCTGATCTCAGATAAAACAGCTCCTTACAGGCAGAGGCACTGGGTCCCAGTAATGCCTGGAAAAATGGAGCCACCCGAAGTGGACTCTCCTGCTTCTCAGGGAAATATCAAAATAGCTCAAATGATGACCCCTCCTTGGGAAAATTCTCACAGTGGAAGAGACAGGTTTCTATGTGCAAATAAAATAACTCTATCCAGGCAGTTTGCCAGGGCAGGGTCCCAGCCAGAGTGAGGGTACTCCCCTTGTCTGATGAGGATGGAGGGAAGGGGGGGCTTAGTCTCTTTTTCTCCATTCATCTTGGGATGTTATCCCACTTCAGCAGATGGGGAAGGAGACTTGAGGACTGCTTCATTCAGTGTGCACAGCCTTGGACCACAAGAAAAACCCTCATGGACACTCAGGTCAGGGAAACTACATTTTCAGGAATAAGAAGTGTCTGCCTTCCACTCAGAAATCTCACAAAAGTCATGAGAACACTGGTTCAGAGTCCACAGAACTAGATGGGGTTCCTGGCTCTGCTATGTACCAGCTGGTAACCTCTGTTTCTTTAGCCCTAAAATAAAAATAACAATCGACCCTACCACATAGGGTTATAAGGAGAAAGAAATTAGTCTATGAAATCAAAGTTCTTGACACAGTGCCCGATGTATAGTTAGTGTTGAATAAATGGTAGGTATCATTGATCATTATCACCAAAGGGGGACAAGCCAATTTTCATCTCCTCTCGAACCCTGAGCTTTTATTTACTGAACCAAATCCATCTCTCCTACAGAAGAAGAAATAGAAGGGGCTTGATTGATTTCCACAAATAGGTACAAAAAAACAGTGTCCTGCACTGGAAATAATTTTTGCTAGTAACACCCTGCATGCTATACATGCCTGAGGGTAATAACAAGCATATCCTTAGAATGACCCTGTATGGCACACACACCTGAATGTATGTTCCAAGCTAGGAATTCCAGGCATAGCCAACCCAGAGATTCATTCGTGGTCTGTGAGGAACATCTGGACCCCAGCCTGTCCTTTGGATCACAGGCCATATAGGGAATTGATGCCCTGAGTTTTGGGTTAAATGAAGATTGCCAGGTGGAGGTCATTAAGGGGAAGGTGTTAAGTGAAAATGCTGTATCAACTGCATGCTGTTTGCAAGTGACTGCAGTTTTCCTGCCCAGCCCACCACCACCAGGCAGTGCAGTTATCTTATCCAGCCCACTGCCACTGGACCATTTCTATATGTAAGGCGATTCTCCTGTCCAGCCTGTCCTGTCCAGCCCGCTGCCGTTGGACTATCCCCTGTATGTAATCCCCTGATGAAACCCTAAGTCTTGGCCAGGCAGGGTGGCTCATGCCTGTAATCCCAGAACTTCAGGAGGCCGAGGCAGGCAGATCACGAGGTCAGAAGTTTGAGGCCAGCCTGACCAACATGGTTAAACCCCGTCTCTACTAAAAATACAAAAAAGAAAAAAAATTAGCCGGGCATGGTGGCACATGCCTGAAATCTCAGCTACTCAGGAGGCTGAGGCAGGAGAATGGTGTAAACCCGGGAGGCGGAGCTTGCAGTGAGCCAAGATGCGCCACTGCACTCCAGCCTGGGCGACAGTGCGAGACTCCATCTCAAAAAACAACAACAAAAAAAAAAAAAAAAAAAAAAAAAAAAAAAGAAACCCCATGTCTCATATGATGGCTCTGTGTCTCTTCTTCAACTTCTTGAACCTGCTGGCTTCCCTACTGAGGTTAATAGGGGTTCAGCACAACACACCCCTTCCACAGTTTTACTAGCCATGCCCACCAACCCCCATCAAAGTGGTTTCTGCATTTCTATGTAGATCTTGACCAAGAAGCTTAAGAAGGCTGAGATTCATCCAGCTGAAGCCCATCCATGAAGATCACCTTCTTTCTTAACCCAGTCCCTAACTGACCTCTTACTATGTATGCATCAAATAGATTATCTGAGAGGCAGCTTGGCAGTCATAGAAAATGCAGACTTTGGGCAAGACATCCCTGGTGAAAATTCCTTGCTAGCTATGGGACCTTAATCAAATGATTCACCTCTCAGGCTTGCATTTGACTTTCAGAGGCATTTTGGGTTTTAGAAACAGTGCATGTGGTTGGG
This sequence comes from Homo sapiens, assembly GCF_000001405.40. NCBI lineage: Eukaryota > Metazoa > Chordata > Mammalia > Primates > Hominidae > Homo > Homo sapiens. Next base: position 34,877,787 of record NC_000022.11, read on the forward strand.
AGTATATAGGGTGTTTCTTTCCCACACCAGGTGTCTCCTGCAAGTAGAAGAAACTTCCTGGCCCCTCTCCTCCCCTTGTTTGTCTTTCCTAGGGAAGAAGAGCGTGTTTTATCTGATGGTGCATTAAAACATAAGTGTGTGTGTGTGTGTGTAGATGATAGAGATGGATGATAGAAAGATAAATAATATAGAGATGAGAGAGAGAGAGCGAGAGAGAGAGCAAGAGATAGTAAAGCTAGATAGACCCTTCTACTCTTTCTAACATGTGAGCTAACTAAAGGAAATTCATCCTTCCCCTGCTACCTGGTGCTTCAGTTTTTATAGGGGGCCTAATCCTGCAAGTCACATTGCCCCTATAAGAGGTCTGCCATTGGTTGAGATTCCCAACACCTTGTGCATTGAGGTATGAATGTTGGGAGAGAGACAAAAAGAGAAATTTAGGGGAGCAAAAAAACATGTAGAGAGCCTTTTAGTAATACCTAGGTGGGTGACCAAGCTTTATGGTACTTGGTGCAGTGCAGGTTATGAGCTGAGCCTCATCCTCATCCTGGGCACATACTTTGAATCCTAGTTTTATGGCTAACTAGCCATGTGACCTTGGGCAAATGACTCTGCTAGCTTTACACAGAGGAAAGGAACAATGAGGGATTTTCCCTTACAGGATCTGTTTGCCTACAATCATCAGCTTTAAAATTTAAAAAGACCCATGTGCTTGTCTCTGGATGCACTGAGGAAGGGGCTGGGGGTATTAGGACCCCCACCACATTCATGATTGGGGTGTTCAGAAATTATAAGATGCTCATCTAGCCTTTTAATTATGTTAATGTTTTGATCCATATTTGGCTATCAACTTCCTATCTTTTCTTTACAGCAACCAGGCCAGACTATGAAGAGCAAATCTTCATTTGTTCACTCAAAAAATTGTTTTTTCTGATATTTATGGAGGATCTACTGTGTGATGTATCTAGATCCTCAAGATACAGCATGAACAAAAAATAAAATTTTTGCCCTCGTGAAGCTTATAGTCTAATGAAGGAAGACAATGAAAACATTTTATAATGTTTATTTCAGGGAGAGGGGGAGAAGATAGACTGTTCAGGTGGCAATAAGTTCTGTTTCCCAGTAGGAAAACAAATGAAACAAGAATCAAGCAGTGGAGAGTGAGAATATTGAGGGCTGTGGCCATTTTATATAAAGACCTTCGACAACAGGCAAGCGTGCAAATGATGCAAAGATGTTTGAAACTGTAATCAGTGAAGGCTAGCTTTAGTTCCTCTTTGTCTGTTCCCCTGGAGCTAAACCATCTCCAGGCCCCTGAGGGGTCTTCTGAAACACATGCAATTCAGACAGGCCAGGTGCAAAGCATGTGCCAGACAGGCAGGCAAAGCCAGACCTCCTTCAGACCCAAGCAGGGAATGAGTTATAGTCAGGGAGAAGTGACTCAGAGAAAGTCTTCACATTCTCCAGCCCTGAAGCGTTTGACCATGGCTGCAGATTGGAATCATCTGGAAAGATTCCCACTCCCCTGCCCCACCCACCCCACCCAAGACTGAGTCTTGCTCTGTCACCCAGGCTGGAGGGCAGTGGCACAATCTCGGCTCACTGCAACCTCTGCCTCCTGGGCTCAAGCAATTCTCCTAGCTGGGACTATAGGCATGCATCATCAAACCCGGCTAAATTTTAAATTTTTAGTAGAGACGGGGTTTCACCATGTTGGTCAGGCTGGTCTCGAACTCTTGACCTCACGATCCACCCACCTTGGCCTCACAAAGTGCTGGGATTACAGGTGTGAGCCACCACACCCGGCCAAAGATTTTTAAAATACGGTTCATCTAGCCCACTCCCAGAGACTCCAACTGGAGTCTAGGGTGGGTCTCATGTAGTGTCTTCTTAAGGCTCCCTAAGTGATTCCAAAGTGCAGCCAGGGTTGGGGACATCTGCCTGGAGACCTATGCAGGGCATTAATCATAGGAGACATGGAGGTGGCAGGATTGGCCTCAGGGGCTGGGGAGTGGAGCTTGTAAGAGGAAACTCAAAAGAGGTTAGAGCTCTTTTCTTGCTGGAAGGTGCTCCTTGGAATTCCTGCTTTGAGGATTGTTTTGCATCTTGGAAGTGCTCTCCCAAAGCAGCTGAAGGTGCCAAAAAGTAGAATCACCACCATCACCATCCCAGAAACTCCCATCCTTGAAGGAAAAACTGGAAAAACTTAGGAGTCCAGAGGAAAGGGGCAAAGTCAAGCCCCCAGAATAGTTGCCTTCCCTTCTAGCCCAGACAAAAGTAGCTCTCGCAGTCTCCACATTCACTACTGGCCCAGCCTAGCTCACCCCCGTAGGAAATGTCACAGAAATCTGAGGCCAACAAACACCCAGTGAGAAATCAAGGGCAGCCACTGCCTCAACTGTCCTCTTCCCTATTGGGGTGATCATGGATCTTAAGGAACTTTTCAGGGGCTGGGGATCTTGGCCAACTCTCTCTCCATTAAACATAGCTAAGGAGTTCATGACAGGAGACAGGCAGGTGGGTGACAATTTAAAAATAAAGGAAAACAATAGCAAAGCACGCACTAGGTACTGCCGTGAGCAAGGATGCCTTCGAATGCTTAACCTGCATCCTATTTGGAATCCCAGCACTATTGGACATGTGCAGTAGGGTCTCCGTTTTGCAGATGACAAATTCAGGGTCAGAGAGGGCAGGTAAGTTGCCTGATATCACACAACTGGCCAGACCTTTCCAAATAGCCTCATCTGGCTCCTAAGCAGTCACAGAGATGGGCCCATGTTGGCCAACACCAGTGAAGACCCTTTGAGGTTGAATTTGTAGACTGTCTCCTAATACCCACAGTCCTGGAGCTGTGCTCTGAGGAGCTGGGGTCACTCATGGCACTGTTGCACACAAGGATATCTGACCTGGCTCCTGGGAACATTTTGCATCTGCCAGGCAAGGCCAAGGGAAACTCCTCCCGCATTTGCTTTTTGTAAAGGAGATTTTGGAGGGTTAAGTTTCCAGCCTCAACAGGCTTATCAGAGAAACTCCCTCTGCTACACAGTGAATCACAGAATAAAGTCAAACCAGCTGGCAACCCTGCTGTGCAGGGAGCCTGAACTTGATTCAGAATCCAGGGGATGAGCAGAGGGTAATGAGACTGGTGGGAGAAGGGGAAGCTAATGGGAAGGACTCATTTCTTGCTTTGTAGGGGCTGCTGCCAGACAGGGTGAGGAGGCACCCAAGACTGACAGCTTCTGCTTATGGATTTCAGCCACACAATGATATTTTGCTTCCCCAAGCACACCCTCAACGTGACCTATATTTGGGTGTAATAAAAATTGCATGCTGGGTGGATTTTCTTAGCAACACATGTTCTTCTGACCTTGCCTGCCAGTTCCTAGGCCCTAAGTGCACAAGGCAGCAGATCATACAGATGCACCCTCTGCCTCCATTCAACCAAGGTCAGTAGCCAACTGTGGGCCAGTCCCAGCGCTTCTCATGAGCCTTTGCACCAAACTCAGCCCAAGGAGATCCTGAGTAGCTGCTCTGGGTCAGTAGAGAATGTCTTTCTAGTTGGAGAAGCCAGCATCTCACCCATGGAGGTATTTTATTATCACTAGATTGCCAAAATGCTCTGCTCATCAAGAAATAAGAAGAGGGGGCTCCGTTTTCCTCCCATCACACCTGTTTCTCCCAGTTGCCCTCATTCAGAGGGCAAGTAGTACATTTCTCAGAACAGTATACAAATTCTCAGATCCAGCCCGATCAGCTCTGTTTCCCTCAATGCTGCCCCACTTGCCCCTGCCTTTCTCGTGCTTTCTCCAAGGCCCTGACTCCAGCCTCACCCTTCTACCTTGATGCACCAACTGGCCATCTTCCCAGTTTCCCATCTTTGGCTTTATTTCCTGAGCTCTCTCATCTTACCTCTGGCAGAGCTCAGCACAGACTGATAATTCAGTAATAAACCTTCAGTCTGGCATGTCCAAGACAGTTACCATGTAATCTAATTGGAGAGGGAAACCCTGGATGAATCTGTTTCATTGCTTCTCATTACCCATTACAATTGGATAATTTTGAGTCCTGAAGACTTTTCAATTCAGTTTAGTGGGCATATACTATACACCTATTATACACTTATTATACATCTACTAGATATGTGTATAGCACTGGGCTGGATGCCCTATGAGACAGATGATGGCACAGAATGTTGGTGCTCAGAGAAACCAGCAAAAGAAATTCTTAATACGTAACCTATGGAGCCCTGGGGTTATTACATGGATGGTTCCAAGTTCTCTAAAAACAAGACAGAAATTTTTATTTCATAAATTTCCCTCATGCTACGTTGTAAATTGCCTGTCTGGGAAAACATTTTTATGTCAAATTATATTGTTAAGGTACTGTTTTCCTCTTAACAAGTACTATAATCATGGTCATCATTTTATGGTATTTAGAATAGAATCTCAAAGTGATAGGAAAGAAGAAAACCTACTTGCAATTATGACTCCAACATGGCTGGTCTAAATCAGTCCTAGCTTGACCTTGAAAATGTCAGCAAAGCTCACCTTGCCCATACTTTCATCACCAAACACGGCAGAGCTCCAACGTGGCTGTCCTTTTGAATGACTGTGATCTTGCCACAGAAAGCTTAGAGCCAATCTAACTGAATTGTCACCTGACCTTTGCCCATTCTTAATCTAACATTGGACAGTATAAGTCACTGGAAAAAGAATGCTCAAAGCAAAGTCTACAGTGTTCTCCTGAATAGCAATGGCAACAACAATAACAATTAAAAAACAACACAGCAAGAATAATGGCTAACCTTCATTGAGTGCTGATTAAGTACCAGGCATTCTGCCAAGGACTATACATATCATAGTTCACTTAATTCTTTTAACACACACACACACACACACACACACCACATTAGATATTCTGTCATTCTTCACGTTTCAGATTTTTAAAAGACTAAGGCCTAGAAAGATTAAGTAGCTTTCCCAAGGCCACACAGCTGGGAAAGGGGAAACCAAGATGCAAATCTTTTTTCACCTACCTCAGAGGACAGCACTGTACCTCAAAGCTATAGCATCTTGCCCGCCACTCTCCTTAATCTTGGAGTAGTGGGTTCCTGTGTTCCATTATTGGGAGAGAAATTTACTGGTGAACAAATGGATGATATCTTGATGCTGTAGGTGACATGGAATGGCTGATGAAGCTAACGTGGTTGCCCTAGGCTGCTGTGGAGCTACGAACAGTTGTCTGTTCTCTTCAACCCATTGGTGGAGGCACCAATCCCATTTCCCGGTGCCAGCATCAGCTCCTCTATCTCCTATGGTGATCTATTTCCCAGACCACAGCACAACCAGCCCCCTCCCCTGCCCCAGAAGTAACTACATCAACCTACTACTGCCTCTAGCTGCATGTTTGGTGGGAATGATTCTTAACTTGAAAAAACTGCAATAATACTAAAACTTGTATTTGGCCCACCACAGAAGCCTTATCTGTAAGATGTAGAAGGTTCTATGGGAGAATTCTGTGACATTAACTGAAATGCTCTTCACCTGTATTTCACAACCCTGCCCTTCACCCCCTGCACCATGCCAACCAGCAGCAAAAACTTTCTGTATGTCCTACCCTCAGTGGAAAAGGATAATACAGCCTAAAACAAAACTCGACTGAGTTTTAGAATGCCAGTTTTACAGCCGTAACAGTGACAGCAGTCTTAACAGCCTTGAGAGAATACTCAAGAGCTGATCTTTGAAAAAAAGAAGGCATGGGCATTAAATAAATGATAAAGAAGCCTGAGAGGAGAGGTAACATATATGACATGGGCTAAGAAGAGGAGACAGGTTACCATACATTTGGAAGAGGGAAGTAAGAGAGTTGGTTATTGAAGTAAGTTCCAGAGGAAAGGACCACATTCTCACTCTTGCCCTTTCCACTTAAATCTGGAAAGGAGAGAGGATTCACAGAAACACCAAATGTCTTGGGGAGATCTCAGAGCATAAAATATCTGTATCTTCCCCTCCAGGGTCCCTTGGGGAGTCTGCAAACCTTGCAGAGAGGTTGTTCCCAGCAAGGCACAAGAGTGGTAGAGTTAACAATGGCAGAGGAAGGAGTCTTGATGGATGGGCCTGAAAGTGGCCTCACAGAATGGTGTCCCATGCACCCCAGTGGGGAAATGGGGGGAAAAGACACTAAGAGTTGCAAAGCGATTGAGGGGAGAGCAGAAGGGCTAAGAGATTGTAACTGGCCCAAAGGGGCCTGAGTTAGGATGAAGAAGAAACAGAAAGCATGGCCTATCAGTGGGAGACCACATAGTACCACAGACACCACAGAAGCAAATGTCAACACATGGTGATAGGGACCCACCTTCTTCAGATATTTCATCAGAGATCAGCACGAACAAAGGATGATCATGGACCAGATGCCCTATGCCCATCTGATTCCTGTCCCTTGAGGAGAAACAAAGGAAAAAGGAGAAGCTAAGCATCTTGAGTTAATTGTGTATTTGTCCCAAAGAGACTGAGTATTAAACTAGACTTGGCTGAGCATACTTGGTTTTGCAAGATTAAGTTTTTTGCCCTTATGGAATTGGAGGCATGAGAGCTAAGACACTGTTTTATACAGAAATAAAGCAAATTAACATCTTTACAAACCTGAGTTGGGGTTTTTGTGTTTTTGGTTGTTTGTTTGTTTGTTGAGGCGGAGTCCCGCTCTGTTGCCCAGGCTGGAGTGCAAAGGCGTGATCTCGGCTCACTGCAACCTCCACCTCCCGGGCTCAAGTGATTCTCTCGCCTCAGCCTCCCAAGTAGCTGGAATTACAGGCACCCACCACCACGCCCAGCCAATTTTTGTATTTTTAGTAGAGACAGGGTTTCACCATGTTGGCCAGGCTGCTCTCAAGCTCTTGATCTCAGGTGATCTGCCTGCTTCGGCCTCCCAAAGTGCTGGGATTACAGATGTGAGCCACTGAGCCCCGCCCAAACCTTAGTTTTGAGGACTGTTGTGACCATGAAAATTCAGCCCCCAACAAGTGCTCATGGAATTGCTAAGGAAAAATAAAAAGCACATAAACAGCTTCATTTTAGGGCATGGTCAAGCTACTTCGGGTCTTGGAACACTAGAAAAAAAAAATAGAAGCATCACTTCTGTTACACGGCATTCACTCCCAAGACATCAAATTTTCTCCAGTATTTTGAAATAGGTCATGGAATTGACAGCCATTTCTCTTCATCTTGCAGCAGTATGTAACTACTGATGTATTTCAATGAAGCTAATTCCTGGGTTTTTAATTTATTTTCACTTACACTATCAATGAAGAAGTCCTATTTTGCAAGTCCCATTGGGAATCTTCTCTTACCATCCACATGTTCACAATGATAAATGGTTTCATTGCCAAGCAATTTACTTAGAGGGAAAAAACGACACTCAGGGCACACACAAACGTAAGTATCTTCATTGCTTGGAAACACATCTGGGATAAGGGGGACCATTTTTCTCCCTCTCATAGCATTCCCACCTAGGCTTATAAATAGTAACATTTTCCCTCTCTTTCCACTTTTTTCTTTATTCCCATGATGGGAAAGGAAGTATCTAGCATTCAGTGATACAATTTTTCCCTACAGAGCAGAGGAAAAGAGTCTCTACCTAGCCCTCTTCCTTGTGTTTTTTTTTTTTTCTCTCTGGCATCCACCTACTCAAAACACACACACATTTTTAAGCTCCTGCAGGGGGACAGCTTCAATTCCAGATGATTACTTTCATTCTAGGAGAGGATTATAGAAAGTCTGTTCAGACTACAAATGCAAAATGGGTTCCCATTCTAACTTCACCAATAATTAAGCTGGTATTTGATCTGCCCCATTTGACCCCAGTGTACTTCTCTCAATTGGCTCTAAACTCAAAAGTGGGAGAAAGGTATAATATATTGGCCCCTTAACTCTTAAAAGGCTTTTGTGTTTTGCAAATATGGTAGATTAGAAAAATGGCCACAGATTAATCTCCTTCCCATATCCACAGCTTCACAAGGTAGTGTTTCTCACCAATAGTTGGAGTTTGGGTCCATGCCTTGAATGTGGGCTGACTAGTACCTTGCTTTGACCAGTAGGACAGGGGCAAAGGAACAAAAACAAATACTTGAAAAGTACTTGTTCTTGTTCTCACAGGCTTGCTCTCCGGCTATTCATGGAAGCCAGCCACCATGTGAACAAGCCCAGGCTAACCACCTGGAGGATAAGAAACCAACATGGAGAGTGAGCTCAGACATGCCAACAATCAAGACCAGGCTAGCTACTACAAACCAGCAGGCCCTTGCCAATCCACCAGCAGGAATGCAGATGCATGCACAAGCCCAGTTGAGATCAACTGAGCGCAGCTCAGACCAGAAGAACCATCAGCTGTGCCCAGCCCAAACCGCCAATCCACAAAATCATGAGCCAAATTAATGGCTGTTGCTTAAGCACTAAATTGTAAGAGAAGTGATACAGTGAAGAAAAAAGCATCAGATGACATTGCCCCTTGGTTGCTTTCTATATCGGTGTGCTCAAGTGTCAGATCCAGCTGATCAACCTCAGAGAACTTCCTGTTATCCTCTCCTTGAACCACCTTTTTAATACTTAATCAAGAAACAGGAGTAGAACTCAGAAGCCCTTATCTTGGGAGGCTCACCAGATTCTAGACACTAAGTCTTAAAGCACTCAATGGAACTTCTGGCATATAGTCACTATTATCATTATTGTTATTATTACTTTGCAGATTAAAATGCTCTTTCTCAGAATAATCTGACAGGGAGAAATTCTTGGTGGACATTTTTGGCAAGTTGGATAAAGTAGTGGTTTGAATTCAAGCCCGGCATTCACCGTTATGGACACTGCCAAAAAGTTCCTAGCATTTCAGCAATTTTCACTCTTCTGAAAGAACTAGGAGGTGGAAAATTATCCTGTTTCCCAGTCAAGAAAAAATGTTTTTGTAGACTGTTGTACACAGTGACAAAACCTTGTCTGTTTCTCCATAAGCAGAAATCTGTAGACACCAGGAAATATAGCAGAATTCTTCTGAGGTTTACTAGTGTGTAGACAGCCTTACGATTGAACTGGATTCATAATCCTTACCTTGCTGACACAGATGGCATCAAGAATGCAGAGCCAACCTCATTAACTCTAGGACAAAGGGGATTATACAAAATAAATTAAACTCAAAGAATCTTAGAGGATTCTGGGCCTCCTTGACACACATCTGACCTTGTGTGGCAAAGTGAGTTCTGGAAACAATAATGGGGTTTGTTACTTACCTTTCTGAGTCACAGTTTGGGGACTTGTTGCCAAAAAAACAATGTTGAAATGATTAGATTGCTGAAATGATGCTGTCATGCAAAGACAGCTCCAACATTTCTATTTCTTTTTTAAGTCAAACAACAGCAGGCTCCTCACTGAAATGTTACTTTTCAGCAGAATTTCAATTTACATTTTTCATTCATTTGCAAAATTTGGATTTATTGCTTTTTTAAGGAAGAAAGCAGTAATATTTTGTGGAGGAAGGCAGGAAATGAGACAAATAATTTTTTGTAAGACTTGTTTGTATGGTCTGTCCATATGAAAAAAATGAAATTCCCATGCAATAAAATAAATTACAAGCAAAAGTTTGTTGGTATATAGTTCCATGTATGTTTCTGCAGAGAGAAATGATAGCTTTTTATCAGTTGATCAGAAGGGGGGGAAAAGGATTAAAAATATTTATCAGAAAGAGGAAATGGGCAATAATATAGCAGTTAAAAAATGTGTTCAGGAGCCAGCTTTTTTTACTTTTTGCCACTTACTAGTAGAGTGATTTAGGAAAATAAAAATATGTCTGAGTTGTTTTAGTAAGAATGTGGCTAATAATGCTTATCCAATAGGGGAGTTGTAAAAATTTGATCAGATCAGATATATAACTGGGATATAGTAGGCACTCAGTAAACAACAATGTACTTTCTGTCCTCTAATTGAGCCCCTTGTGTTGTATTTAAAATCTCTCACAATCCAAACCCAACACAAATTCTCAAGAGTTTCATCTATCAACACTCTATATGTTTTTGTCATATATCCCAGCAGCCCTGGCCTGCTATGTGGTTTCTGTCAACTTCCCTAACCCCTTCTTACCAGTAAAATAGGTATCTACCTCATGGAATCACCATGAGGATCAAATGACATTATATATACAAAGAACTTGGACCAGGGCAGAGTGTATGATAAGCACTCAATAAATATTAACTAAATATTACACTTATTATCCTCATCATCATTATTAGGTACCACACCCTGACCTCTCCTTTCTCTGTATCATCATAGATGACACTTTATTTTTCTCGGCTTTCCTACATCCTGCTCATGTGTAAGTCTCAATTCACTGATCCCTCCCAGGAATGGCTGAGCCACCATGCCCCCTGATCCATGTGCCTCTCCTATCTCACATACCATATCACTCTATGGTTCCCTGCTCATCTGTCTGTCCCTCTAGCTAGTCTGTGAGCTTCTAAGGGCAAGAATGGTGCTTTGTTCATCTCTGTACTGCCAGGGCCCAGCACACAGCCTGGCTTATGGCAACTGTTCAGTGAATAATGGTGCAATTGAGAGAAAGAATAAATGTATGGATTCTATCTCCTTCCAAACAAGCATAGCTCTTATTTAATTTCTTCATTTATTTTAACTATTTTAGTTTTTGGTGGAAAAAAATGATTTAAACTGGTGTCTTAATCCATCCATTCAGGTTGTTAATAACAAAATACCATCGACTGGGTGGCTTATAGACCACAGAAATTTATTTTTTACAGTTCTGGGAAGTCCAAGGTAAAGACAGAAGAATAGTTGGTGTCTGGTGAGGACTTTCTTCCTGGCTCATAGATGGTGCCTCCTCACTGTGTCCTCACATGGTGGAAGAGACTAGTCAGCTCTCTGGTGTCTCTTTTAAGAGCACTAATTCTATTTATGAGGGCTGTAATCTCATGACCTAATCATTTACCAAAGACTTCACCTTTTGATACCATCACTGATATGGTTAGGCTTTGTGTCCCCACCCAAATCTCATCTTGAATTGTAAGCCCCATAATCCCCATAATGTCCACGTGTCAAGGGAGAGACCAAGGGAAGGTAACTGAATCATGGAGAAAGTTTCCCCCATGCTGTTCTCATGATACTGAGTGAGTTCTCACAATATCTGATGGTTTTATGAGACTCTTTTCCCTTCACTTGGCACTTCTTTTTCCTGTCACCTTGTGAGGAAGGTGCCTTGCTTCCCTTTCACCTTCCACCATGATTGTAAGTTTCCTGAGGCCTCCCCAGCCATGCTGAACTGTGAGTCAATTAAACCTCTTTCCTTTATAAATTACCTAGTCTTAGGCAGTTCTTTATAGCAGTATGTAAACAGACTAATACAGTAAATTAGTACCACAGAGAGTCGGGTGCTGCTATAAAGATACCCAAAAATGTTGAAGCAACTTTGAAACTGGGTAACAGGCAGAGGTTGGAACAGTGAGAAAGTTTGTAACTTCCTAGCAACTTGTTGAATTCCTTTGACCAAAATGCTGGTAGTGAAATGGATGATGAAGTCCAGGCTGAGGTGGTCTCAGACAAAGATTAGGAACTTCTTGATAACTGGAATACAGGTGATTATTGCTATGCTTTAGCAAAGAGACTGGCAGCATTTTGACCCTGCCTTAGAGATCTCTGGAAATTTAAACTTGAGACAGATAATTTAGGGTATCTGGCAGAAGAAATTTATAAGCAGCAAAATGTTCAAAAGGTGACTTGGGTGCTCTTAAAAGCATTCAGTTTTATGCATTCCAAAAGAGATGGTTTGGAATTGGAACTTATGTTTAAAAGGCAAGCAGAGCACAAAAGTTTGGAAAATTTGCAGCCTGACAATACAATAGAAAAGAAAAAAACATTTTCTGAGGAGAAATTCAAGCCAGCTTCAGAAATTTGCATAAGTAATCAGGAACCAAATGTTAATTACCAAAACAATGGGAACTGTGTTTCCAGGGCATGTCAGAGGTCTTTATGGCAGCCCCTCTCATCACAGGCCTGAAGGCCTAGGGGGAAAACGTTGTTTTCTGGCCAGGGCTCAGGACCTTGCTGCCTTGTGCAGTCTCGGGAGTTGGTGCCTTGTGTCCCAGCCATGGCTGAAAGGGGCCAACATACAGCTCAAGCCATTGCTTCAGAGGGTGCAAGCCCCAAGTCTTGACAGCTTCCATGTAGTATTGGTCCTGTGGGTGCACAGAAGTCAAGAATTGAGGTTTGGGAACTTCCACCTAGATTTCAGAGGACGTATGAAAACACCTGGATGTCCAGGCAGATGTTTGCTGCAGGGGTGGAGCCCTCATAGAGAACCTCTGCTAAGGTAGTGTGGAAGGGAAATGTGGGCTCAGAGCCCCCACACAGCATCCCCAGTGGGGCCCTGCCTAGTAGAGCTGTGAGATGAGGGCCACTGTCCTCCAGACCCCAGAATGGTAGATCCACCAACAGCTTGCACCATGCACCTGGAAAAGCCACAGGCACTCAATGCCAGCCCATGAAAGCAGCCAGGAGTGGGGCTGTACCCTGCAAAGCCACAGGAGCAGAGTTTCCCAAGACCATGGGAACCCACCTCTCACATCAGTGTGACCTGGATGTGAGACATGGTGTCAAAGGAGATCATTTCAGAGCTTTAAGATTTGACTGCCCCACTGGATTTCAGATATGCATGGGGCTTGTGGTCCCAATGTTTTGGTCAATTTCTCTTATTTGGAATGGATGTATTTACCCAATGCCTACACCTGCATTGTATCTAGGAAGTAATTAAATTGCTTTTGATTTGACAGGCTCATAAGCAGAAGGTACTTGCCTTGTCTCAGATGAGATTTTGGACTTGGAATTTTGGCTTAATGCTGGAATGAATTAAGATTTGAGGAACTGTTGGAAAGGCACGATTGGTTTTGAAATGTGAAAGGGACATGAGATTTTAGAGGGGCCAGGGGTGGAATGATATGGTTAGGTTTTGTGTCCCCACCCAAATTTCATCTTCAATTGTAATCATCATAATCCCCAAAATCCCCATGTGTCAAGGGAGAGACCAGGTGGAGATAATTGAATCACGGGGTGGTTTTCCCCATGCTGTTCTCATGATAGTGAGTGAGTTCTCTCACAAGATCTGATGATTTTATAAGGGGCTCTTCCCCCTTCACTTAGCACTTCTCCTTCCTGCTGCCTTGTGAAAAACGTGCCTTGCTTCCCCTTCACCTTCTGCCATGATTGTAAGTTTCCTGAGGTCTCCCCAGCCATGCTGAACTGTGAATCAATTAAACCTCTTTCCCTTAAATTACCCAGTCTCAGGAAGTTCTTTATAGCAGTATGGAAAGGGACTAATACAGTTCCCTTGGGGATCTGAATTTCAACAAATGAATTTTGGGGGGAGGCAAACATTCAGACCATAGCAAGTGGTTTAAGCAAAAGGGAATGTATCTCTCAATTAAGAAGTCCAATAGACAGTTCCTGGCATACCTGGATACAGGTATTGTACCCACTTCTAACTCTGCTTTCCTCCACGTTGGTTTCATATTGATACAGCCTCAGCCGTGCTCCCTTTTGGTGGCCAGATGGTCATTGGTGACTTCAGACTGCATATTCCCAGACTACTTGTGCCAAGGCAAATAACTTATTCTTCCCAATAGTTCTATAAATGTTCCAGAATTGAAATTAACTGGCTAGATACCCTCCCCTGGAGAAAGGTAGTAAGAACTCCATATTCTCTAAAAGACTAGTTGCTTCCCAAAGGAAATTGGGTGTGGTTACCCAAAGAAGAAAATATATAGGCTCAACAGGCAAAAATATACTTGTCTATTACAAGTTCCCTCTCTGTCTCTAGTCCTCCTTGCTCCTAAATTTTCACCTAGAGAATTGGGCTTCCACCAATACTAACCACCTGCTTTCTTCTTCTCAGTTTGTGGTAGCCTCTCTCTTACAATCTGTGACACTTTGAGAAGACCCACTAGCCACCCTCAGTCTGTGTGCCCATGGCCTGCTTACTTAAGCCACATCTGTGCAGCTTCCTGATCACACTCAGTGCTGGAGTTTTAGAGGTCTCAATACTGGACACCTCTTTCCTGCCCTGGTGCAAGACCAACTTAGAAATAAGCAAAAGGTTCAGGCAGTTGGGATTTTAGAAGTTCCCTTCCCCACAGACAACAGTTGTTGGAGAACAAGACTTAAATGAGTAGCAGCAATGGGTTTCCTAGTATTGCACATTAGAACTGGGCAGACTTCTCTACCTGGTCACACAGAGTGCTGAAAGCCTGCTGGCTTCCCCATGGAGCCTGCCCCAGAAAGAAAAAATTGAAAACATGAAAACAACTCTACTCCTACAGCATTCAGGAGTAGAGTTGTGCTTTCTGCAGGCAGGAAGGAATCAAGAGAAAAACAGAAAGTGGCCACGCCAGGGATGCCTAGTTCCTTCTCCCAAACTAACCAATCAAGTAAGTCTCTGCTCCCCCAGAGAAGGAGTGATGGACGTGTGAGGGAGAGATGCCTGTGTATTACACCAATGCATGCTCTTCTGCATGCAGTGGGAGACAAGAGTCCCCCCAACAATCAACCTGGGTCTGGCTTGTTTGTGCATCACTGGTGCTGTAATCCTGACAAAGAAAGCACCTCCTTTCCAATCATGTTCTCTTTGCAAGCAGCTGGAAGTAATCTATAGGGATGTTGTCACTCTTTGGACACCCCCAGGAAGATTCCACCTCCAATTCCACAAGTAGCAGGATGGGGCATGGGAAGAGGCTGAAGGGGAGGGGGCAAGTAGCTGATCCATTAAAATCAACTTGATGGCAGTTCCTTTTGTCTTCCAAAAAAACAAAGTGTGTGTACTACCAAAGATTTTTGCTGACTCTTGGCTTCTTTGCTTTTAGTGCTATTGTTCACCCTGGGGATTTATGGTAATTCTTACTCCCTAAAAGATATCTCTGTAAGAATGCCCATAAATTTAGGAAGAATTGTTTCGATTTTCCTTACTAATTATTTTGCCTCTCAGTTATATATCAGCAATTTTTAAAGTCATAGGATGTTTCTTAGATACAATGGAGTATGAGATACAGGGCTCTGGGATCCAACAGATACCTAATTAAGAGTAAATCAGGTAAAAGCACAGACGGGGAACCTACTGCACATAGAAGATTGCTCTACCTGCCATGGGAGGACAGCGGGGAACAGAAAAGTAGTGTCTGACCTTGAAGCAATAGCCATTCCCAAGGCTACTTCCATGAATACAAAATGACTTAGCAAAGCAAGGACATTTTAATACAGCAAGTTTTGTTTGGGATATTTCCAACTATATCAGACAGGGGTCTCTTGATGAGTACACAAGGGAGGCATTTCTTTCTGTTCTCTATACAAGAAAAATCTAGTAAATCTAGTATTTTACTGACAAATTATTTTGTTTGCAAACAATGAGCCATGAATATCATACAAGCTAATTTTGGTTTTCTTTTTTATTTTGGCTGCCAGGGAGCTCAAAACCAATATTCAACCCATTTCTAACAATTGTATAGGAGCTTGTAGCAGGCATTTTACATACTAATCTTAGCTTTCCTTGGTTCTCCAATCCTAATGGTCCCTTCATCCTAATTTGTTCATCCATTTATGGTGGCCTGCTCACTGGGTTACAGAGTCCCTGGCCTTCACAGGTTCATAATTTTAGAAAGCGGCCCCAGCTACCTTTCTCTGCTTCTCTGCTCAATTTCAGAAGATGTTTGTCATTACAGAAACCTGGAAGCAGCCCATGCTGCAGGTAAGGGGTAGCTGAGATAAGGCATGTTCTTGACTTTGGGTAGAACAGAAGAGACTAGAAAAAAATCCCTAGAACAAAGGCTGAGAGTAGAACAGAGTGTGCACAGCCAGGAAGGGTAATAAGCATTACAGAATTGAGTAGAAGTCATGAACAAGGACTTCCCAGAGCCTGGGTTGAGGTAAAGGGACAGAAAAGGATGGGGGTACTTACACATGCTGTGGAAGATGCAATACTGGGAAGGAGAACATATATTCCATGAAAGCAGGAGACATATTGTCTTGCCCATTACTGTCACACATGCCAAGCATGGGATTGCATTCAACTAATCTATTTTCAATGAACAAATGCCTCAGTAGGGATGGTTCATTCGTGATCTGCTTCTCTCTTGACACCTCTATACCTTGAATTCAACCTTCCTTTCATTCTCTGATGCAACAGTGTTGGAGAAGGCAAAGTAAATACAGTGACCTAGAATCAAAAGTTGCAATATTAGTGAGCCCTCAGCATGTTGGGCTAGCCAATGTACCAGGGGAGAGACTGATGCCATCTTACTTATGATTCTGCAGAGCTTAGCAGTTTAGCACATAGGCTGCAGATCCAGATACCTTGGGTTCATCTCCCAACTCTGATACCTGGCATCTGTAGGACCACAGCCAAGTTATATGAACACTCTGTGCCTCAATTTCCCCATCTGTACAATGGGGATAATAACAGTAGCAACTGAATAGGACTGTTGTGCAGACTGAGCCAAGATATGTGCCTGGTATATAATAAATACCATATAGGTGCTAGCCACTATTTCTAGCTAAAGACCTGGTCAGCTATGGCTCATACCTGCATGGTGATGCTATAAACTTTACTCTTTATAGTGAAGCAGACACTGGGAGCCAGGGTGGTACAGAGCATGGGAACAGAGCTATAGAGAAAGGGAAGAGGTCAACAGAATCGGGTATCAGTGAGGATGGGGTCAGGAAGGACAGAGTGCACCAGCAGAACACGCATCTGGGAATGTACCCCTCCAAGTCCTCACTGGCTGGGATTCAAACATGAGACCCAAGTCTCCAGACCAGTCTGGAAAGACCAAGTCAGAGGGCCAGACCTGGAGGGTCTGGCACCCAAGGAAGAATTATTGGTTCTTGGCTCCTTCCCAACATTCTGCTGGGGAAAAAAAAATCCTTAGTCCTTCCCTGGTGTTTTTCAAGGAACCACCATTCAACTAGTCATGTAGGCAAACACCTTAGAACCACCCTAGAGTTATCTTTTGCCCTCATCCCCAGAATTTCCACTGCCAAAGCCTAACCTACACCCAGCTACTTCTCTCTATCTCTGCTACCGCCACCATCACCTCTTGCCTGGGTAACTGGTCAGACCCTGCTTACTGGTCTCCCCAGAGCTTCCCCTTCTCTCCACAACCCACTTTCTGAACAGCAAGCAGGTGGATGTATTTTTTAGTGTAAATCTAATCACAACTTCTTCTACTTAAAACTCTACACTGGCTTTCTGTCACCCTTGGAATAAAATTGATGCTTCTTCCTTTAGCCCATGACGGCCTCAATCATCTGGGCTCTGCTGACTTCATCCTTCAACACGTTTCCTCTCTTGTACCATAATTTAGCTGCATATTCTTTTTTTTTGCATTTCCCAAACACACTAGGCTATTAGCACTCTGTGGCCCTTTGCATTGGCTGATCCATCTGCTTAGAACTTTCTGATTTCCAGTTTTTTCCCCCTAGATGGTTCCTTTTTGTCATTCAAGCCTCAGCTCAAATGGAAGACCTTCCCTAGCCACCCATGCTGGGGAAGCATCCAATTCCACTTTCTCTCGCCCTCCGCCCCCCACTTCATGGCACTGAAAACTAATAGGAATGTTCCTGTTTGTTTGTTTACTTTTTCACTGTGCCCCCAAGTAGAAGGTGAGCTCTATGGGAGCAGGGATTTTACCTGTCTTGCTATCTACTATTTCTCTAGATCAATACAGTCCCTAGAATAATACCCGGCACGTAGTAAGTGCTAAGAAAATATTTATTGTGTGAGCAACTTAATCAATCAGAATATGCCCCAGAGCCTGGGGTGTAGTCTTTAACCCTCTGTAATAGAGCAGACACTGGGAGCCAGGGTGGTACAGGATGTAGGAACAGGGCTATAGAGAAAGGGAAGAGGTCAACAGAATAGGGTATCAATGAGGATGGGGTCAGGAACTTGCATAAGCTTGCAGGTAAGTGTAAGGAGAGAGAGGACACAGAGACCAGCAGTCAAGCAAGACATGAGCAGCAATGTTCAACTGGATTGCAAGGTCACTGCCTTGGAGATGGAAAATCTATGTGTGAGGGAAGGTCAGGGCAGCTACTTGGATGGAGCATGTCAAGCTGACAGAGAGCCCATTTGGTCCATCCATCCTATCAACAAATCTCTAGGAACTTCTACCATGAGCAAGGCAGTAAAGTGAAATTTGTAAAAGACAAAGAAATTAGTGTACTTCGGTCCCTGCCTAAAGTAGGCTCCTGGGCTACTGAGAACTCAAGTACAGATGTGGTACTGTGTCGTAAGTACTATAACATTCAGAGTCTAAGGGAGCACAAAAGAAGAATTCCTCCCTCAAGTCCACTCGGGGGCCAAGGAAGGCTTTGCAGAGGAGGGGGCAATTGAGTTGGGCATTGATGGCCAAGGAGTTCCGGGGAAACCATGTTGAAGCTGGGAGAGTAGAACACCTGAAATCCTGTGAAATCCATAAAATTCGTTCCCTGGCTTTTTGGCATTATGCTTCCCCAGCTAAACACCCCCGGCTACAAGGTCTGCCAACTATCTGCCTTTTCAAATCATGCCTTTTATCTGAAACAGCTTTGAAGCTCCCTGGGCTTACTCTCTTCCATTGTTCAAAGTAACTACTGGAAACGCTACCTCTTGGCAGTGAACCGTCACTCTGATCCATCGCCAGTGGGAGGTTCAATTGGTACAACCTTTGGAAGAGTAATTTAGAAGACTGTTTCAGAAGTCTTTTTTAAATGGCCATGCATTTATTGTTCTGAATAATCCTGTTTCTGGAAATCTATCCCAAGGAAATGATCCTAAATTCGGAAAGAAAGATAAAAGCTGTATGTGTACGTGTTCACTATATATACTAGCTATATTAAGAGCAAGCTAAATGTTCAGTTATAAGGGAATTAATATTTTTAAGTGGTTCATGCAGTGGAATATTATTTAACCATCACAAAGGGCACTTTCTTAGAATATATAAGAGCTCAGAGAAATACTGCTAAAGTAATGTTACATGAAATAGGATTTCAAGACTTACGGGCAATATGAACACAACTATACAAGAAAAGTATGCCTTTGTCATCTTATGACAAAGGCTGGGAAATGAGTAGGAGGAATGTTTCATGCTCCATTACTGCATCTGGGGAGGTGTTTATTGGTGATATGCAGGAAGCACTGGGACTGTTTAAAAGGAATGGGTTAATGTGCTGTTGAAACCCAAACTGAAAGTGGCTCTTGCACTTGGGTTTTAAGTGCCCATTCTACTGATACAGCTTGTCTTCCCCTTCTGCCACCCAGACCCAACACAGAGAATACAAGCTTCCCCAGGGCATGAAAAGAGACAGAGACTGAGAAGGAGACATAAACATAAACCTAGCGGCACAGACACACAAACACTCTCAACAACAGGAAACTCAGAGGGATGGCACATTAGAGATACATTGAAGGAAGCAATATTGTCCATGGAAACCAGCTGATAAAGATCTAACTCTTAAAGCAAACTTGGAGCAAGTGCCTAAGTGATGACTCTCAATGAACTCATGCCAGTTAGAAGGTCTGAAAACAAGAGCCAGATCTTCCAATACTCCAATCTTCCACACTGAGCAATGTGGAACTCTCAGGAGAGTCCACATAGCATATCCTCAAAGACACAGATGCCACCCAGACCTGAATTTGGATAGGTCTGCCAATCTCACTGGCCAAGAGCTCACACCAGTTCCTTAGTGTGGGGAGCTGGAGATCAATAATGGAATCCTCTATTTGGTGTTTGTTTATGCTGTGGATGTTATGACTAAATTTTGTATATCTCCTATTCTGGAAGAATTTTGGTTTAAGTCATTCTGTTATTTTTACCTTTAAAAATAGAAAGCAAGGCAGGGCACAGTGGCTCATGCCTGTAATCCCAGCACTTTGGGAGGCCAAGGTGGGCAGATCACGAGGTCAGGAGATCGAGGCCAACAAGGTGAAACCCCGTCTCTACCAAAAATATAAAAATTAGTTGGGTGTGGTGGTACGCACCTGTAATCCCAGCTACTCAGGAGGCTGAGGCAGAAGAATCACTTGAACCCAGGAGGCGGAGTTTGCGGTGAGCTGAGATTGCGCCACTGCACTCCAGCCTGGCAACAGAGCAAGACTCCATCTAAAAAAAAAAAAAAAAAGCAAAACCTTTCTTATTCTAGATACATATATGTGGATACTTGAAATTATTGTAGTCAAGATTATATTCTCTAAAGCCACAAAAACAAACAACATAAAAGCAAATCTCCTTAAAGACTGTGGTTTTTTAAATGCTTATTTATACTGGGTGTAATATATATAAACATATATGTATGCAGGAGAAAAAAGGTGGTTAGAGAAATGTATTTCGGTGTTAACAGTGATTGTCTTTGGCTGATTAAACTGAATGATTTGTTTTATTTTGTTTTTCAATGTTTCTGACTTAGACCAATTTTTCTTATTTCTCATGTATTACTTTCATATTCTCAAAAGGAAACCTACTTCGCACATAGATTCTGTTGGAAGTTAATTGGCAGGGTGGGGTAAGGGGGTTTATAATGCTATTCCATATCCCACCATACAGTTTTGCTGGCAAACAATTCTCATCACACAAGAGCTGTCCCCCGGCTGCCTACACGCATTGCTAACACTTTATTTCCTTGTGTTTCCTGCTCTACTTGGACATAAATATGCCTGGCTCCAACCCCCACATTGCCCAATGCCTTCAACTCAGAACGTCTATCTTCTACCAGCTCTATCGCAATCCTAGACCTGATCAGGGGAAATTTAACAGCCTAGGCCAGCGGTTGGTGACCCAAAATCAATGATTCTGGCTGCTATTCATGTTGTGACCTCGATCCCTACACCTAGTAACTGGGCCATTCCAGGTATGAGCTATGGTAGATTGATTGTAGCGATGCCCCCAATTAAAGGCCTTCCTGTATCTATGCCCTTTCAAATGGGATATTGAACTCCCCACCACCCGACCACACACACACACACACACACACACACACACACACACACACACACACACACATCTAAAGATGGTGTCCATTTTTCTTACCTCCTTGAATCTGGGCTGGCTGTGTGAATTGCTTTGGCAAATAGAATGTGATAGAAGCATAGGCCTAAAGAGGATTTGTCCACTTCTGTTCTCTCTCTCTTTCTCTCTCTCTCTGTCCCCCACTCTCACACCTCTGCCATCATGAGAACATGCCCAGGTAGCATGGGACCACACCCAAACTAGCCTGCTGCAGGATGAGAAGACAGCCTACAGCCCACTATGCAGAGAGAGAGCCCTTCCAAGATCCACAGACTTCCTACCAAGCCCATAGATGACTGCAGAAACTACATGAGCCCATCTAAAAGCAGAAGAACCTCCCAGGTGACCAACAGATTCATGGCTGATAATGTTTCTTGTTTTCAACCACAGTTGTAAGGTGATTTGTCACATGGCATTATTGTGACAATAGATTGTGATACAGAGTTGATACTCCAGTTCCAATGATTGTCTTTTCTCCCAAATCATCTAAATCTCTGCCCAAAATGCAGGTCCATGCCCCAGTATCCAGAGAAACTTGAGTCTTGCCATGGCCCTAGAGTGCTCTCTGCTTTGGCCCCAGGGTCTGCCTGGCCAGATCCTTTCCTAGCCCCTCTTATCAAGACTTTCCAGACATAGTTCCTCTCTGGGCCACTGCCACCAAGCTCCATGTGACCTTGATAGTGACCATTAACCTCATTCACTGTGCACAGAGCCCATCCCACAGCCTGTGAACATGGATATACATGAAATGCTTAATGATAAGCACTAAATGTAGAATGATAAGAGCAATTGGGAAAATGAGGACAACCCATGGTTATTAAGCACACAGTCCGTGCCAGACACCATAGTCAATGCTTCTGCTTATCCCATTAATACAATGTCTCTAGTAGTAGATGTTATTATCCCCATTGTGATGAGAATATTGAAGTTCAAAGAGTTTGAGTAACTTGTTCAGGATTGCACAATTAATAACTGGTAAAAGTGTGATTTAAAAGCATGTTTGATTCAAAAACTCTGCTCTTTTCACAGTTGCCACGAGTATCAGTTAGCTATTGCTGAGGAAAAGTCCACCACAAAACCTGAACATCTATTTGTCACTGGTCTGGGGGATCAGCTGGAGTTTGGCTGACCTCAGCTGGGGTCCCTCATCCATCTGTGGCCAGTGGAGGTAGGGGGAGTGGTGGATCCACTCTAGGCCTGACTCTAGAATGTCCTGGTGGAAGCAACCTAGCTGGGATATAGCTCAGCTCTACATCCACAGAGGATGATCTCTCTCATCCTCCTACCTTTGGGGGCCAGCAGGCTAGCCCAGGCATGTTTTTCTCCTAGCAAAGGCAGCAGCACAAAGGAGCAGAAAGAGACAAGCAAGTGCTCTTGAGGCTTGGACTCAGGGCTGGCACACCATCACTTTGTCTTTTTCTATTAGCCAAAGTGAGTCACATGACAGAGCCCCAAATCAAAGGGTGGAGAAGCATGCCTACCTATAGGGTGAGAGCCCTGCTAAGTTACATTGCAGAGGCACAGATCCAGGGAAGGGTGAAGTATTGGGCCTATTAGTTAAACTTAGATATCATGTCCCCTTATACCTGTGAGATGGTGGCAAATGTGAATCCTGCAAAGCAATGTCTTGTGGGTCAAGAGCATGAGCTTGGAAACAGACTGCCAGGTTCAACTTGCAGTTCTGCCACCTTTTAGCTGCACAGACTTGGTTGAATTACGAACTTCTCTGTATTTCAGTGACCTCATCTATAAAATAATTAAGCCAACCTCTTAGCATTATTAATGAAGATTAAATATAAAGCACTTTGTTTATATGTATTATATGTACAGATAACATGATTGCCTATGTAGAAAATTCCAAAGAATCAACAGAAAAGTTCCTGGAACTAGTAGGTAATTATAGCATAATTGCAGAATACAAAGTTAATATACAAAAGTCAATTGCTTTCCTATAAAGCAGCAATGAACAATTGGAATCTAAAACTGAAACATACATAGCACTTAGTAAATGTGAGCTCTTATTACATAAAGAGGTTATAGGCACAGAGAGCAGGGTGCTTCCTCTTCTGTTCTTCCATTCGTTTGTCTCAATCTAAACCTCTTTAGGCCAGTTTCAGCCTCTAGCACTCAACATTGGTGTATAATCTCAAAGCACACTGATGAGTATTCTTTGTTATTGACCTCATTTTCCTCATGAAAAACTGAACTCTGGAGGAGATCTGGGCTTTATATAAGGTAACAAAGTAACCATCATCATCACCATAATTATCACCATCATAACCCTGGTCTTCAGGTTCTCGGTCTCCAGGCTCTTACCCAGCCAGTGAGCCATGCTGCTCCTTTAAATAAAATGAGGGGTTTGGAAGAGAAAATGAAGAGAAATCCTTGGGAAATTTGAGAGAAATGAGTAAAGAAAAAGAAAATATATCCTTTTACCAGAGTTTTCCTTCTTAACCCTGATTTGGAGTTGCTCTTTGCTCTGGAGGAGAGCTCTAGATGGGCTGGGAGATTTGGATCTCATTTGCAGTATTTCTCAAAAGCAGCTGTGCAAACCCAGGCAAGTCATTCTGCCTCTTTGGGTGTCAATTTCCTCCCTTGAAAAGTGAAAATGATGTCTCCCTGTCTGTCCTATCAGTGGTAAGGAAAATCAGATGAAATGATGGCTACAAAGGAGCTGTTCAAACTATAAAACATAGCATGGGCCGGGCACAGTGGCTCACGCCTGTAATCCCAGCATTTTGAGAGGCCGAGGTGGGTGGATTATGAGGTCAGGAGTTCAAGACCAGCCTGGCCAATATGATGAAACCCCATCTCTAATAAAAATACAAAAATTAGCCAGGTGAGATGGCACACACCTGTAGTCCCAGCTACTCAGCAGGCTGAGGCAGAAGAATCGCTTGAACCCGGGAGGCGGAGGTTGCAGTGAGCTGAGATCATGCCACTACACTCCAGCCTGGGTGACAGAGTGAGACTCTGTCTCAAATAAATAAATAAATAAATAAATAAATAAATAAATAAATAATAAATAAATAAATCATAGCATGAATGTGAGCATAAGAAAAAAAATGAAAAAAAAATCTCCAATGAGGTTGTGGCCTAGTCCTTTGCAAAGACATTGAAATTTGGTGTCCTGGTGACTTTCTACATAGTTCCTAGGGAGTAAAGAACATGTCTTCTACACACATACCCTCAAGAGCTCATTAATTGCACTGCTGGGTAGAAACACATGCATACACCTGAAAATCTATCACTTATGGTGCTCTAATAATACCTGAGTTTTGAAGCTCAGGAGAAGTCCAAAGCAGAGACTTGCAGGTACCTAGTGGTCCAATGGAGTGATTGTGCACCAAGGCTTTGAAGCCAAGAAGAATTGGGTTCAAATCATTGACTTACAGTCTGATGCTCAGATGCATTATTAGAGAAAAGAGGGCAGGGGATGATAATATCAACCTCATAGAGCCATTGTGCCGTATCAATATATATAAATATTTAAAATGAGATAATGTCTACAAATCTCATTGATTGAGAAAAAGAAGAGGGAGAGTGATATCTTAAGTGCCAATCCCTTGGTGTGTGTTACCTCCCTGGAATCCTTATAGAGTTCCTGCATTGTGGTATCAGTCTCCTTCAAAGCTTCCAGATCCTTGTGTGACTCATGCTAACACCTCTACAAATAGAGGGACCAAGGCTGTTAAAATGCTGCCACAGATCAGTTGGCTCATGGAAGGAGCCAGGAAAGGCTGAGGAAGGGAACAGCTCATACCATCATGGCACCCAACAGTTGAGCAGCAAAGGCTATGGCAAGAATAAGTGGAGATATTCTGAATCTTCAGCTCCCAGAGTCCCTCCAGATTTGCTTAGAGACTCACTCCACTCTATGGACCACAGGCACCGGGAGCACTTTCTGTGACAAAAGAAAATAAACAGAAGGATAAGTAAGAAGTACAATTTTAGGTTATTACAGAAGATTATCGCAAACAAATAGACCTAGGTCTAAATCTCAGCATGCAATTTACTAGCTGGATGGACTTAGGTGGGTCCCGTGACCTCTCTGAGCCTCTTATCTATAAAACAAGAATAATCAAACCTACCATAGGAATGTGCTGAGGATTAAAGTACATGTCACTTGTAAAACATCTAATCCAAAGCTGGTGCTTAATATATGTTAGTTCTTTCTTCTCCTCTTTCCTCTTAACTTCTTGCATGTGGAATAAATTATCAAATTAAATATATTTACATTAAAGGCAACATCCAAACAATAGAATTCAAAAGGAATGTAGGGAGAGGAAAAATTCACAGTATCCATTCCTTAGAACTTCAGTCCTTATTTTAAAAATAGATTATTACAAACCAATGGGTACTTTGAGAAAATCGTGTCTAATTCTGCCCATTTTGAAGACTGGAGGATGTAGAACTGATGCCCAGAAAAATAAAATGGCTTGAAAAAATTCACACAGAGAGTTACAGGCAGATCTTGTATTAGAACCCAGTGTATTAATCAGCTACTGCTGCATAATAAACATCCATCAATCTCAGCAATGTAAAACCTCCATTATGGATTCCTAGGCACCTACCTGTGAATTAGCTGGGCCATGATGGCCAAGATACTCTTCTCAGGGCAAGAGAAGCCCCAAGACAGCTCTACCGCCAAAGCACATTTCAAGCCTTTTCTTACATCATCTACTAACTTCCCATTGCCCAAAGCAAATCACAAGGCCAAGCCCCTCAGTAATGGGGTCAGGGAGTATGCCACATTCAGGGAGGATGACTCAGCCCAGGGTGTTCTTGTGGGAATGGTGAGAGATAGAGAGAGAATATAAATGCCTGCAGTACAGGCAGGTAACATGCAAGGGTGTAAGTGGGCCAAGACGAAAGGCAATAAGGAGAGGTAGGGCGTGTGGAACTGTGAGACCATGCCTTCAACTCCAACTGATTGTTGCTAGATCGTATCTTTCAAGAGATGCTGACATGAGGATCTCTATAAAGAAAGCTTCCTCTGTCTTAAATCAATGAGCAGGACAACAGAACAAGCTGATGGGCCACATTTCCTCGAGCCCTGCTCTTCACCACATTACCTGTCCCTAAGGTTCTTGTTGGTCTTTCTGTGACTGAGGATCTCAGTGTGAGTCCCTAGAAATATTCACAAGACTCAGATCATGGCAACAGGTGAAATGGCAGCCCTGCCACATCCTGAGTTGACAGTATGTAGCAGGTGTCCTAAGATTAAGCTGAGTGGTTTTAGGGAAGTAGGGGAAGGAGAAGTCTTACAAATTTAACTCTTAGAGGCAAGAGCCTTTCTTTCATCAGGGCTCCAAGCTACAGCAATTTGCACAAGGAGCAATCTGCACATTTTCATCCCGTCTATCTTCCCAGGTTATTAAATATTTCTTGTCTAAGCTAAGTCGACAAAGTTTCTTCTAACATCTGGAATTTTTAATATCTGAGACTGTTTTGGGGAACTTCATTGTATTCTTCTGCCGACAAGTAAAAAAAAGAATAATAGTAATAAGATGATGATGATGATAATAATAATAGAATAATAATGAGTCACCATATAATGAACCCTTGCTCTATGCCAGGCACTGTTATAAGCTCCTTATATGTACTGATATACTGGATTTTAATTATTCTATAATATAAATGTTGTTCTCCATTTTACAGAATAAGAAACTGAGACACAGAGAGGGGAAATAATCCAACTAATATTATTCAGTAAGTAAAGACATTCATTTTCCCCAATAAATAACTCTTACCAAGCAAGTGACCCACCCTTCAGAAAAAATCTGATGACATCCAAAATTGCCTTTATGAGTCACAAAGGCAGTTATTTATTAAATATCTACTCTGTGGTCAACATATTTTATTGAATTCTCACAATAGCACCATGGGGTGTGCCTAATCCCCATTTTCTCCATAGGAAATTAAGGCTCAGAGATTTGCAATCATTTCCCCCACTATCTAGATATAATTTGGAAGAAGAGGCTTTGAAACCCACATCGGTCTGGCTCCACTGGAAGACAGAGGCTCCAATTTAGAAATGAGGCCGCGATATTATGATATATGTATATGTTGGTTTTTGCCCACAGTTCCTGGCTCATAACTCACAGTTTTTTGTTATGATGTTGGGGAGCTTTAGGCCTCAGAAGCAGGCCTCAGAAAACAGAATCTGTCTCTCTCTCTGACCTTCCCCTGCCCACCTTTCACCAGCTCAAAGCAAGACTCCAATCTTCCCCTGCCTTTCTGATTGAGACCCTCGCTCCACAGAGGATCCTGCCTCATACCCTGGAGGGGAGAATGCTGCAGAGAGGCCCAATCATATTTTGACATGGTTGTCCATGTTTCAATCATGCCTGTGCAAAGTAGTCTCCACAAAGGGCCCAAGAGGACAAGTTCAGGAAGGTTTTGGATAGCTGAACACATGGAGGTTCCTGGAGGGTGGCCCGCCAGAGAGGGCATGCAAGCTCTGCACCCTTCCCCCATACCTCACCCTATGCATCTACTATCTGTATCCTTTGTAATATCCTTTATAATAAACAAGTACATAATTGTTTCCCTGAGTTCTGCAAGCAACTCCAGCAAATTAATCGAACCCAAAGAGGGAGTCGTGGGAACCCCAACTTGAAGCTTGTTGGTCAGAAGTTTGGAGGCCTGGACTTGTGACTGGTGTCTGAAGCAGGAGGAGGGTAGGGGAGAAGTCCTGTGGGACTGAGCCCTCACCCTGTGGGATCTGACGCTGCTTCCAGGTAGACAGAAGAGGTCAGATAAGAGATCTGAAAATGAAGAGATCGCATCTGCTCTGACAAAAGGGCATATGAGATGGTTTTGCCTGGGCCCTAAATCCAAAAAGCATTTTAACCAATCAACCCTTAGATACAGGGTGTCCTTAGAGGACACCCAGCTGGTGTCTGCTGCAGAATTGATTGCTTATTTGTTGGTGGGGAGAAACCCTTCACATTCGGACACAGAAGTCTTTTGTCTGTATTGATTGTGGTGTTGAGTAACAGAATAGACAAACACACTTTGAGTTTATGGGGTTTTTTCACCCACAGAGGCTCATAAATTCTTACTTACCTTCCCTCCCAGGCCTTCCCTCCCATCAAAGTTCCAGACTCATCACAGCCTCCCCAGAGCCTAAGCCAGAGATCCTGAAAGTCAGGTCCTGCCTTCCTCTGGCCTAAGCTGGAGATCCTGAAAGTCATGGTCCTGCCATGACCATGATAAAAGGTCATGGCCTTTTTATCTCACCAAGTGTGGTGCCTGCTCCTTCACATGCTTGGAGAAGGCTATGACCAGGACTGCTCTCTGACCTCTTGTCCTCTTGCTATCCTCAACTTCTCTTCAGCAACCCACATCCAGCTTGCCTTTTAATACTGCAATAAGGTCGATCTCGTAAAATCATGGGCTTCTAGAAACTTTGCTAGCATAATGAAACTTAGAGATGATCTAGTCTACCCTCTTAGTTTATCAGAGAAATTATGAGGCTTCCTGAAAACGCCAGCCCACACTGATCCCTAACCCTCCACACTCTCTTTTGTGTGGATTTTATTGTTGTTGTTGTTGATACCATGCATATGAGCACTATATATTTGTCTTATATTTTTTCTGATGGTCTTTTGTGTATCTTGTCTTACAATGACAACATCAAACAATCAGACCTTCAAGCCAGAGAAGCCCTTATAAATTCACTGGGCAGAGTACCTTCATTTTCCTGCTGAAGAGATGAGTAGAAAGAAGGACCAAGACACACCCAAATCCCACCACCTCCAACACTGGAGGAGCACAGACCAATGAATTTTAAGACCAGCCCCCTTGTACTCTACCAAAAGTAGGTGACAACTTCCATTGGCTTTACTTCCTAGAGTTGTCCAATAAAGACCAGTTGAATAGAGTGTAGAGATCATCACCCATTCAAGGTAACCAAACCAACTCTGAAACCAACAGGCCCAGCAATGAATGCTTAGAGGCAAGAGAGACTGTATAGAAGAATACATAGGTGCAGAGTGAATACACTAAAAATAATACTAGCTAAAATGTATTGAGTCCTCAGCAGTTGGCATGTATCAACTCCTTTAATCCTCACAATAATCTATGAAGGAGGTTGATATAATTTGGCTGAGTCCCCACCCAAATCTCATCTTGAATTGTAGCTCCCATAATTCCCACGTGTTGTGTGAGGGCCTCTGTGGGAAATAATTGAATCATAAGGGTGGTTCCCCCATACTGTTCTCATGGTAGTGAATAAATCTCATGAGATCTGATGGTTTTATAAGGGTTTTCCCCCTTTCGCTTGACTCTCATTCTCTTTGCCTGCCATCATGTAAGACATGCTTTTGCTTCTTCTTTGCCTTCTGTCATGATTGTGAGGCCTCCCAGCCATGTAGAATTGTGAGTCCATTAAAACTCTTTCCTTTATAAATTACCCAGCCTTGGGTATGGCTTTATTAGCAGCATGAGAATGAACTAATACAGAGGTATTATTATTATTCCTCTTTTACAGGTGAAAAAACCAAAGCACACAGAGATAAAGTACCCAAAGTCACACAGCCAAAAAGTGGCACAGCCAGGACTCAAGCCCAGCCTGTCTGGGTGCAGAGCATGTACCCACAATCCTTGCACCATAGTCTCTTGATTAATGCATCTCCTCTCACTGTTAGCTCCTTGAGAGCATGGGCACTGTCTTGTTCACTACTTTATCCCCAGCACACAGCAAGGCAGCCAGAATTGAAAACTTATTGACCTAAATCAAACTGAACTGAAAAGTCTTTATCACATGGCCAGGAGAAAGGTGCCATCATCCACTTGCTAATAGGGTGATCCAAAGAAAGTAGCTTGATCTCAACTCCTCTCAGTATATATAAATGGGGACAGTAGTACCTACGTCATTGCATTAACTCCAGTTGTATTTAAGATAATGTTTATAAAGTGCCCGGCACATGATAAGTGGTCAACAGTGGTAACTGGTGTTATTAATGGTGGCAGGGAAAGCAAGACAAGAAAATAAACCCCACTGGTGCTGGGACTATGTATGTGCTCAGAAGAGGTCAGATCAGAGATCTGGAAATGAAGAGATCACATCTGCTTTGACAAGAGGGGAAATGGGAGGGTTCCCCTTGCCTGGGCCCTAAGTCCAAAAATCATTTTAGCCAATCAACCCTTAAATACAAACTCTCACATGAATCTCAGAGTCCGCCTAATTTATGTAGGGAGTAGCCATGCTCTGAAATCCAAAGACATCTAGACTCAAGGTCTGACTCTATCAAAGACTTGCTCTGTGACCTTGGACAAGTCACTCAGCCTCTCTGGGCCCCAATTTCCTCATCCATAAAATAAGGCATTTGAACTAAATGATCTCTAGGCCTCTTTCCAGCGTTACTTAATAATCATGCTAAACGACTGGAAACAAAATGTCTTTCAGCCCATCTGGCTCCTTGGTGGAAGAACCAACACAGGACTTTATGAGTCAGGGCTTGGGAGCAAGCTCTAAATGGAGATGATAGCTTTGGGGAGGTTTTTGTTTATTGTGATGATAACTCACAGTTACATGGTGTTTTACCATTCACAGCACCATTTTCTGTAGATTCTCATTTCATCTGCTCTACAGCCCCATGAATCTGATCATCCTCACTCTGTAGAAGAAGAAGCTCATTCTGAGAGTGTATCAGGAATTTGTTCAGCTGCAAGTAACAGCTGGCCTGACCCATGTGGTTTAAGAAAAGAGGAGTTTATTTTTATCTAGAATTAGTCAGGGATGGGCCAGGCAATGGCGGCAGGGCTGGTGTCTCTGATTCTCTTGCACTTTCCTTTTAATCATAAAATGATCCAGACATCACATCCATGGTCAAGGCAGGATGCAGGGAATGAATGAACTAGTGACAACAGCCTCCCTTCCCAGGAAGCAAGACTTCCCCAGAACCCCTCCCAGCATCCTCTTTGCTCATATTTTATCAGCTCACACTATCACAGCTTTGGCCCTAGTTGCAAGGCAATCCGCCATGGTTCTTTTACCTGCCTGTGTTAGTTTGCTAGGGCTGCCATAGACAACAAAATATCACAGACATGGTTGCTTACACAACAGACATTTGTTGTCGCACAGCTCTAGAGCCTGGGAAGTCCAAGATCAAGATATCAGTAGAGTTGCTTCGATCTGAGAGCTGCGAAGGAAACCTCTGTTACAGGCCTTGCTCCTTGGCTTGTAGATGGTCATCATCTCTCTGTTTCTTTTCACTTCATCTTCTCTTTCTGCATGTCTCTGTGTCCAACCTTCCCCTTTTCACAAGGACAAGAGTCATATTGGAATAGGCTTCATGCTAATAACCTGATCTTAACTTGATTACCTCTGCAAAGACTCTCTCCAAATAAACTCACATCCCTGAGGAACATCAGCATATGAATTTGAAGGGGAGGGGAGCACAATTCAACCCTCTGTAGTGGAGGCAGCTAGGCAGTAGGGTATTGGCCAATAAACAGTGTCTGTCTTTGAGAGTTAAGAAATTTGCTCAAAACTAGTAAGTGGCAAAACTGGGACTTGAATTCAGCTCTTGACTAGAAGTTTAGGGCTCCTTCTCCTAAGACCTCCTACCTCTCATTTAGCCTCTCATTAACAGGAGACAGTAGTTCATAATGGTGCAGAGAACACGCTCTGGATTCAGATTCCCTGGGTTAAAATCTACACTCACTGTATGACCTTAAGTAAGTTACCTAACCCCTCTGGCTTCAATGAAAGGGAGACTCATTCACGATTTAACAAATAAGGATTGAGTTTCTTGTCTGGCACTCTTCTCAGTGCTGAGAGTGACCACAATAGAAATAAAAGCACCTATTGAATAGTGTTATATTAATTTGATGAGACAACTCATGTAAATAAAATATTTAGTTCTACAGTATTAGTAGAACTAATACTACTAATACTAGTGGTATAGCACATAGCAGGCATTCAAGAAATGTTATCATTATCATCACAGTAATTTTCATTAGCACTCTTCCTCTCTCCTCTTTCTGGAATTTCTGAGATTGTACTTTACACTCTGGTCACTGCGTATATCAGGACAATGGATGTAGGTGAGCCGTGAACACTACCGCTGGCGGACACAAAACCACAGTGTACAAGGTACCCTGGAAGCTGCCTAATACTCCACCGTGAGATGTGTGTTTGCTGGCCCAGAAGTCTGGAGAAGGAAGTCACTTTCCCCTTGATGCCCAGCAGAGCAGAAATGATGGAGGCGCCAAGACCAGTAGCCTCCAGCAATCAAAAGACGATGGGGCTATCACTGCAAGTTTGGCAGTCATGGGGAAAGTGAGCCAGAGAAAGAAGACAGAACTTGAGACCCTCTGGAAAGATAGTAATGGAAAATAAATGATTCATTTCATAACACTGGGTCCAGAATATGATGTTTCAACTGGGACAGTTAAGGTCTGTATCAAAGGAGGAAAGGTAGGACTGAATGATAATGACCTTGGAAAGAAAGGAGGAAGGGAGCTAATATTTAGCATCATTCTACTACGTGTCAGACGCTATATACCACATCTCCTGAATCCCCATGACAACCGAGAGAGGCAAAATGGTATAATAGATAAGAGGGAAACTTATGAGAACTGTCAGATAAAACCCAAATATGAGTTCCAGCTTGGCTATTTGCCATTAAATACTGTGCTCTCTCTGGAAAATTACTTAACCTTTCCGAGTTGGTTTTCTTATTTGTTAAGAATGGTAATGACCAACATACCTAATAAATTTTAAAAATGAAGGTACATGCTTAATAAAGAGTAGTTCCTGCTTTTATTATTTTTTGTTCTTTTTCCTATTATTACTGCTACCATCTCAACTAGTAAGTAGATTTTTGTGCCAAAATTCTGAATAATCCTGATATTCTGCTAGAAAGCTTCTTGGCTATTTGCATATGATGATCCATCTTTTACTTCTGAACATATAGAAGAGGCGAGTAAATTCTAAGAGCACTTAAGCCATTTTGTTCCAAGAAGATAATTTATATAAGTTATAGCAAGCAATTTGGAGGAAAAAAAATCAGAATAAAGGAAGCACTCCCTCTGAGGGCACCCAAATGATAAAGCCAAGTGTAACTGTCAATCTGTACTGTCAATCATTTTGGGTATAAAGGAAGAGGTGGGGCTGCTAAAAATCAGAGAAGCTTTGGTCCTCCCCCCACTTTCTTAGCCCCGCCTATCCTAGTCCCCACTCTCACCACCCACCTAAGGTGGGGAGAGGCCCCCAGATCTGCTGAGATGAAGAAGACTTCACCAGCAGAGGGCTGATAATATTAGATTTTTACTTAATAGGATCTTGGATGAAAAACAAAGAGTTTTTTTAAATAAAACACTTTATAATAAATGTCTGTCTCTCGACATTCCAAACCTTTTACTGAGTATCCTCTGAAAATAATAAATTTTGTGACTGGCAGGGAGAATTTTTGGCCAAAAACACTCCTGACACATAATCCTCCCCATTCTCCACATAAGGAGACGGGGCACAGAGAATGTAGACAATGTGCCAGTTTGTGGTAGACCTGGCTTTTGAGGTCACATGTGTCCATCCCCAAAGCCCATGTTTTATTACACCTCACTCATTTCCTTTCTTTAGACAGAAAACCTGTGGATTCAGCAGTCTCGGGGCCTAGGACTTGTGTCTCAGCCTTGAAAGACAGGTCTTACCTAGCACATGGGAATAATGATAATGGCTAACCTGCACATGAAAACCTCCCAAATGCCAAACGCTGTGCTAATTTTTAATGAGAATTATTTAATGTTGACAACTCTTTGACGTGGGAACTGTTATCATCTCTAGTCTATAGAGGAATCTGAAATTAAAGTGCCAAGTCATACAGTTGTGACTACTAAGCAGAGACAGGACTTGAACCCCAGCAGAGTATCATGGATGGGGACCCAGGCTCCTAAACAGCACACACTGCTGCCTATGGTAATAATGTACCTACATGGTGCTGGGAAAGGCTGTTTATGGAGAAGATGGACAGGACCTGTCTCCCTGAGACTTGTCAACAGTGACTCACTCTAACAAACATCAGTAAAAATCATGTAGTTATCAACTGATGAGCACGGCTTCTCTACCAGAGAGTGTATCCCCAAAGCAGGAGAGACCATGAAAGGGAATGAGTTGGGGAAGGAGGAACCACATGGGGTGTGCTAGCTACCGAACTAGCCACCATCAGGAACAACCAGTTCCTCGATCTTGCGGGCCCATCCTCTACAAATGCATCTTGGGATGCTTTACCAGGAGGTGGGAGAGGAGTAGGGAAGAAGAATTTACCCCTTGACTCCTACAACCCATGGGTTAAGAGTTCATCCTGGGGTGAAGTGGGTAGAGAAAAACAACACTTTCAAGTCTCAAGGTGCCTGACACTTCAGCTTCAACAGGGAAACTCTAGGGCTTGAAGCAAGAGGCTTGCAGCCCTGAACATAGGAGAGGCACGGTCAGGTTGAACCAGCATGCAGCTGGTCAAAATCCATATAGTGTAAATAGCCACAGCCCAGTGCAAAGTGAAAATGCAGGGCCCCTTGTTCAAAATGATTACAAATTTCAAAACGGCTATGGCAGAGCATTCAAGCAAGCGTGTAGCGCTTCAAAGCCAGGGCCCTGTCCAACTGCACTGACCACATAGCCATGAAGCAGGCTCTGCCATGTACAGTTGATCACCACAGGGGCAACTGGGGCCAGAACAAAAAGCCCTGAAGACAGGTAGACAGGTGAGGCTGAGAGCACCTGAAGTGGCTTCTGAGATGGGCTCAAGGCAAGGCTTGATGAAAGGGTGAGAGGAGAGAAGCTTAGGGCATAGGGTGGGGCTAGAATGTGCTGGGACTTGGAGAAATTGGTTTCCGTCATGTACACAGATCACTTACAGAAGTCAGCACCTGTGAGAACAACCTCTAGGTTGCATGTGTTATATAAAAGGTTAGCAGTCCAGGTAGTAAGAGTAGAGATTACCAAATGAGAACTAGATTAGCCAGAAAAGGCCTCAGGGAGGCTATTAGATGCTACTTGGGGACAGAAAAAGTGGGAGAAAGCAAGCAGGGGTCATTCCCATTAGTTCTTCCCAAGTACCCGGTAAAATCTGGTGCCCCCTGGCTGGTAGCAGACACCTGTGTCCATAGAAGTTAACAAGTAAAAGCTTTGCCTGTGTGCAGCAGACAAGGGGGACGGCTCTCATTTGCAGCTGGGACTAGAATATCTCTAAAGTAAGAGTATCGTTTCCTACTGGAGTACTCCTTCTCCATTATCCAGCTGAGCAAGGCGCTCTTGCCCTCCCACCTCTCCTCAGCCTCCACCCACTTGGTCGCAGGCAGCAGCAAACTTAT
The DNA here is from genome assembly GCF_000001405.40 of Homo sapiens. NCBI lineage: Eukaryota > Metazoa > Chordata > Mammalia > Primates > Hominidae > Homo > Homo sapiens. The sequence goes on from NC_000022.11 coordinate 34,913,185, forward strand.
TATGTGATTGTACAAGGACTCAGCTATGGACCACTTGTTCTTCAATTTTTCATAGCCAGGCAGCTTTTTATCTTTGAAAGGTTGGTTCTCATTATTCATTCTCCAGTTTCCAACCTTGCATCAGCCCTTAAGATGTGATATTCGACACTATCGTCCTAATAAGATTCTGAAGTTCCCTCCAGCATGTGTTAGGGTCTTCTGGGCCCACCCCAAGCTGTGATATCTTTAATTCATACCCATCATTCTTGGACGAGGTCCTAGTACCCCTTCTCCACATCACAGCTCCTCTGAAGCTCACCCTAGTCTCATGAATGGGAACTAGCTCTCCGTAGTTCAATAAAAGTAGGGCCTTCATATTCGGGGTCAGGCTTTAGCTGTTTCCAAAAGAAGACAGTCACATAGTTCTAATGCTTTCCCTCTCTATGATTCTATAATTTAGATCTAGGTTATATGCAAATTTGGGATCCTGAGGCCCAGTCAAGACCACCAGGTTGCTGTGACAAACTGGATCCTGGAATCATGAGGCAGGTGAGAGTCTTGTGGTTCCCAAGCCACAGCCCTTCTAGTAGTCGATGTGCTCTACCTGAGTACATACTCGAGTTTGTCTGGGTGACCTGCATCATATCCCAATGCCTCTCAAAATCTGGGGCTCACCTCAGACCCTTTATAGGGGCCTCATGTCATTTCCAGTGTTTGTGGGTCTCCTCCTCTCTGGTACCAGACCTGTCTGTCCTGCTGTAGTAGAATACTCACCACTAATTTCCACCAAAGCCCCCGTGGTTCTCACAAGGTCAGCCTCTGCCTGTTATCCCCATTGCTCATTGCCGCCCATCTGTTTGGCTACTTCAACAAGCCCTACTGCCAAAATTGGGTCTGAGATGGATGCAGACCCTATGCCTGGACTTCCCAGCTGTCCTTTCTGGAGCCAGCCTCTGGGCTGGGCCAACTTCCCCAGCTACTATCGTACCTGGCCCCAGCTTGCTCCCCCTGCTTGTAGAGCCTGTGCTGCCAAGACCCCAGCATGCCAATTTCCAAACCCATCTAAGCACCTTTCTTCCTGGAATACTTTATTAATCATGTCCAACACCAAGCACAGAAATCCAGGAGAGAGAGAGAATTAATGGGAGCAGGAACTCCACTGGCATCGCCAGCTGTGGATTTTATTTGGCTTCATTCATTTATTCATATTAAAAAAAATTTATTGGCCAAGCTCCCCATGTCAGACATTAGAAAACAGCAGTAAACAAGAGGGAGAGGTTCTGTCTTCAGCACACTTGGAATCTAGTAGGTAGAAAAGACTTTAAATGGAGTCACACAAGGAAATACACAGCAATTACATTTGTGGTGGATGCTAGCAAAAACTGCATGACCCTGGATTGTAAAACACAGAGGGATCCATTGCTGACTAGCCCTTCGTTATCCTCAACTGACATCACAAGGAGATGTAAACTGAAATTCTCCCTAATTCACAAATTCTTTGGCATTATTTCCAATTGTCCTTAACTTTGGTACAGGCATAATTTTATGATTCAAATAAAAATAAAAAGCAAACTACAACCTTCTGATTACTGCCATCAGCTCTAATAATAGCTTTGAGCTCCTTGAAAAGAGGGAGGGGGAACAGAAGAAAACTCTCTGGATAGATAAATGCCAAGCACTGTTTGATGATTGTAGTTCACATTACAGAGGCGAGGAGAGGAGCCAGGAAGCAGAAGTCAGGCGCCTTTGGGATTTCACAGGCTGGAGACCCCATGCATTTTTCTAATTCCAATAGGATAAGCCTCAGAGGCCCTTAATGCAAGATGGGTTTTGAGTGTTTCCAAGCTTCCTGAGAAAGATAAAGCCTGCCTTCTTCATCAGAATTATTCAACTGTGGTGTAACTGCTTAGCAAGGGAATGGGGAGGGCTTATAGGACTCCTGTAGCTCCTCCTACCCACCCTGAAGATTTGCTTGTGGCTAATACTACCCTGAGCACACCACATTTTCTTTCTTGGCCTCTCCACATCTTATCTTCCCAAGACTGGCTTCCCATGCCTCAAACCGCACATTGCAGACAACTCCCTTTCCTCAACCCTCCTGAGAAGCACCTCTTCCCTATTCCCTTACTCACGAATTCCAATTTTCTCAATGAGACCTGCTCCTGGTAGAGGCCAGGAAAGCAATCAATCCCAGGAAACTAATTTGAGCCATTGACATACTCCAAGGCTGTTTTCTTTTTAAAAAGGAGTGTTGCCTGAGTTCTGGTCTCAGCTTTGCCACTTATTATGTGTGAGCTTAAGCAAGCCTCCTGGCCTTAGTAGCTGCAGGTTACTCATCAGTAAAACAGAGATAATACCAACCATACCATGAGGTAATATAGTCCAGGGGCTAAAAGTCTAGCTTCCCAAGTTTGAATCCCAGCTCTGCCACTCCCTAGCTGTGAGATCTCAGGCAGATTACTAAAACTCTTCCTACCTTAATTTCCTCATCAGTAAAATAAGGATAGCAATAATATCTACTTCAGAGGGTTTTATGAGGATTTAATGATATGTAAATATATAAAGCTCTTGGGCCAGTGCTTATGCTTTAAGCACTATACAAGGGTCTGCTATTCATAACAATGGTATTATTATTACATGCACTGAAGCATGAATGTGCTAACCAAATGTGGGAAGAGATGGGACAATGCTCTTTGTACTCCAAGGGCAGTACTTACTTCAAGAGAGATCTCAGAACCTGAGCTCAGTGTATGGATGTCCTAGGAGGAAAGGAGCAAGATAACTGAAAGGAAAAAAATTGTAGTCAGAGACGGATCAGCAGAGGTCAGAGATGAAACAGACTCAACGCTTCTTGAGGACAGGACTGTGTCTATGCTATGGTCTAATGTTTGTGCCCCCTCCCCGAATTCATATGTTGAAATCTTAACCCCCAAGGTGATGATATTAGGGGTTTGGGGGAGGTGATTAGGTCATGAGAGTAGAGCCCTCATGAACAGGATTAGTGTCCTCCTAAGAGACCTTGCCCCTTCCACCCTGTGAGGACACAGCTAGAAGGCACCATCTATGAACAAGAAAGCAGGCCTTCACCAGACACTGAATCTGTTGGCGCCATAATCTTGGACTTCCCAGTCTCTGAAACTGTGAGAAAAAAAAAATTTGTTGTTTATAAGGCAACAAGTCTAGGGCATTCTGTTGTAACAGCTTGAATAGACTAAGACAGTCTATTTTTACCACTATTCAATCCACAAAGCCCAGTGTAGGGCCTGGCATATAGTTGATAGATATGGAAGAAAAGAAGGAAAAGAGGAAGAAAAAGTAACAAAGAGGAAAGGAGGGAGGGAAAGGAGGGAGGAAAGGGAGGGAGACGGAGGGAGGGAGAGAGGGAGGGAGACAGAGGGAGGGATAGAGGGAGGGAGACAGAGGGAGGGAGACGGATGCAGGGAGGGAGGGAGGGGAAGGAAGGGAAGGAGGGAGGCAGAGAGGGGAAGGAAGGGAGGGAAGGAGGGGAAGGGAGGGAGATGGAAGGAGGGAGGGAGGGAGAGAGGGAAGAAAGGAAGGAGGGAGTCATCATTCATAGTTTGGTAATGGGAGTGGGTAGTCGAAGAAGGCATATCACTGGATTTGAGAAAGCTAGTGAAACAGGAGAAGAAAGTATTTGTGAAAGGAAAATAAATCTTGGGGCCCCAAAATCACTAAGATAAAGGGAAAAGTTAAGCTGGAAACTGCTGGGGCAAACCTTCCTCCCATTCTATTCAAAGTCACCCTTCTGCTCACTGAGATTAATGCATAACTGATTGCCTCCTTTGGAAAAGCTAATCAGAAACTCAAGAAAATGCAAACATTTGTCTCTTATCCACCTATGACCTGGAAGCCCCCTCCCCACTTCCAGTTGTCCTGCCTTTTCTGGACCAAACCAATGTTCATCTTACATATGTCGATTGATGTCTCCTGTCTCCCTAAAATGTATAAAACTAAAGTGTGCTCTGACCACATTGGGTACATGTCGTCAGGACCTCCTGAGGCTATGCCATGGGGGCACGTCCTCAACCTTGGCAAAATAAACTTTCTAAATTAACTGAGACCTGTCTCAGATTTTGGGGTTTCACATACTGGACATGCCAGCCTCATAGGCATCAAAGTCCTTCAAGATAATGGTAGGACTGAATCTGGCAAGGAAGCTCATGAGTCAGGAGCTTCAAGAATGTGGAGGAGGAACCAGGAGGTTGAGAAAACTCAGCCAGGAGAAGAGACAGAGGGTGGTGGAGCTGCCGAGAGGCATGAGACTCAGAAACGCTTCTACACAAGGATGCAGGAGTAAGGATGGAGCACGTGCAGCCAGGAGAATGTTGTCTGGCACGTGGTGAAACATGCAGCTCCCCACAGCGAGGGCAGGTAAAGTGGTATATTTAGAGGAAGGCAGCCCTCAGCAAAGAGGAGAAAAGCAGAGAGAGCAGTCAAGGAAGCAGGATGTGCTTCCAGTGTAACAGTCAGTACAGGAGAGTCACAAGTTATTTGTGAGCACATAAGCTCACTTCAGTTTTATACTGACTATAATTTATTTTAACAAGGCTCTATTCCCAGCTGACAGTAAGAAAATTATATTTAGCCCAATGCAGTCCACACAGTCCTGTCTAGTAATTTCTCCAGTCACTGCTGTTTTAAGACTTAGTCATATCTCAGATAAGCATTCAATCTAATGCAACTATTATTATTATTATTATTATTATTATTATTATCAGTTATTAGAACATAAGCTGTAAGAGGGCAAGGATGTACTGATTTGATTCACCACTGTATTCACAGCACCTAGAAGGGTTCCTGGCTCATAGTAGGTGCTCAATAAATATTTGTTAAATGGATGACTGTCTGGTTCAAAGCTCCTCGTTGAATACACATTCTGTTCCCAAGCAATAGGGGTCTTCATGCTGCCCACTGCACCACAGCAGGGAGTGTGTATGACTCGACCTGGGCACATCAGCTGCTGCATCTGTGGCAGCATATTCCATGGCTCCTGGGCCCCCAGGAGTGACTTCTGTGTAGCTTGTTGCCCTGGATAATCAAGCCACTGGCATGCCTTTCCTTTCCTGGAGATGCTAGCCTTGACTCCACCAGGAAGTATGGTGGGGTGGTGAGCCAGCCCTGTCGCTACTAAATTCTATGGCTCATCCAGGCCCTTACAGGTTACTGTATCAGTTATCTCTCGCAACAACAGTGTTGCATAACAAACTACCCCCAAACTCTGTGGCTTACAATAACAAGCATTTACTGTTCAATTCTGCAGGTCAACTAGGTGGCCTTGCCTCAGGTTGCAGGTCTGCCGGGTGGCGGGTATGGTTGTGGCTCATGTGTCTTTCACTTTCCTGGAAAGGCAGGCTCTCCAGCAAACCCAGCCCTTCTCTAGGCAATGGCAGAAGGACTGAGTGAAAACACACACGTGCACATGCACACGTGCATGCACACGATGCTTCTCCAGGCTCAGGACTCGGCCCGTTACTCTCACCCACATCCCATTGGCTAAGGCAAATCACATGGCCATGCCCACATCAATGGGATATGGGAAGAGACCCCACCTCTAGCAGGAATAACTCCAAAGTCCCCCAGCAAAGGGCATGGATATAGAAGAGACGAAATATTGGACACAATTGTGCAGCCTACCACAGCAACCCTGCCAGTCCACCTGGTGGGAACTCAGACGTCCCTGGGCACTGACCTCTCTCTCCACCGCCCTCTCCACAGCTGTTGCGTCCCGCTCCTTCAGGATGTCTGTTGTGAGCCACCAGCTTGCATTTAGGATGCTGGAAGGAAGCAGACACTCCGGCCAACTTTGGAATGTCCACTCTTCATGGGAAGCATAAGGCCCCCAACCCCTTTCCTATCAAAGCCAGAGGGGGTAGCATGGCCTCCCTCAAACAGCATCACCTCTCTGCCTGCAAGATTGCTTCACTTGTGCTCTGAGGAAATGAGACAGAACCTTCCATTCTGGGTTTCCTGGTGGCTTTTATCTGACACTCCACAGGGTCTCCTTTGAGGTTAGTCTCGGGGAAATTGGCACCTTCATTGTTGGTGACCTGGCTAAAAATGGACAAAAAAAATACAGCTCATAGTTCAAATTATTGTCACACTTCTTTACCCTAGGAACCTGGGTTTCAGAGAAGAAAGAGAAAGGATTGAGGATGGCAAAGAAAGCACAGAGATGAAAACACCAGTGGGGGAAATAACACTCTCTCACAGAGTTTCAAGGGGGCTTAAATAAGAAAATGTGGGCGTTCAGTAAATATTTGTTTGATTTTCTTAAACTTTAATTCATTCTACCTCCACTAAAAAGAGCTCTGGCCAAAAACACCACTGGGCAACTTTAGAGAAAAATAGCTGCAGCAGGGAGTGTGGTCTGAGAATGATAACTTGCCAGTAGATAGGTGGAATTTAGCCAAAGCAAAAAAATAGTGTTATTTATCTTAGACTTCTAAAAGTACCAACCTGGCCCAGGCACAATTTTTCAAATGACACACACACACACACACATGCACACGCACCCCACATAAACAAACCCTATTATTATCCAAAGCAAATAAATGTACTAAGCAGATTTCTCACTGAAAGGAAATGGCATGAAATGAAGAAAAAGCAATAATTCCTAGACATTTTGGTTAATAAAAGCACAAAGCTGGCTAACTTTTGGTCTTTAATGTCTATATCAAAATTATGATAAATTGTACACATTAGGTGGGCCATAGGCATAAACAGTGCTCTACCCACCATATAAAAAGATAAAACCCTAGCCCACAAGCAGCATTTCCTACTACTAGAACCCAAGCCCACCCAGTCAGTCACAGAGTCCTGGGAAGAGACCATTTGAAGAAACTGGAATGTCACATGCCTCATGCTCAAGGTGAGCAGAAGCATTGGGATGTCTAGTCCATTTTAGGAAATGGAAACAGCTATGCAAAGGCTGAGGTCCAGGTGACACAGAGCAGTCAGGAAACCAAAAGGCCAGTGTGCCTGGAATACTGTCAGTGAGATGGTTAGTGCCAAGAGGTGCAACTGGGGAAACATCAATGGCTGGACCACGCTGTGCCTTGGAGAACACATCACTTACTACCTGACTGATAACCACCATCTTTCAGCTCATTGTGGCTCATCTGCTCAGCAGACATGATTGGCATACACAGAGCCCAATCAAAAATGACATCTTTCCCAATTCATGTTACTAGACTCCTCCCTTCCTTTTCTTTTCTTTACTTATATCCTAAGCAGTCTCTAAAGCAATGCTCTGAAAAAAATATTTACCACAATCCGTTGGCCATGAAATAGATTCTTAACAAAAGCACAGATCTCTTTTCTCCATCCTGTTGGACAGCTGAAGGATTAAGGTCTATCGCAAAGACTAGCTTTTCACCAAATCTGTTTTCCGTATATCCTAGGACAACAGCTAGACTGTATTTCTCAGCCTCCTTCACAGTTAGTTGGAGCCATGTAACTGAGTACTGCCAACAGAATGCAGGCAGAAGTGATGTATGTCCCATCCAGGCCTAGCCCATAAAAACTTCTCTCCATTGCCGTCTGCTGGCTGGACATCAGTGTCTGGAGACACCTTGGAAGCCAGCTACTGAACATGACAAAACCACCATCAGCCTGGGTCCCTGAATGACTGAGTGGAGCAGGCCTCATTCCTATCCATGCCCTACCTTTGATTAGATTTCATATGAGGATGAAATAAACTTCTATTGCATATCATTGAACTTTTGGAGTACACATATTATACCTACTAATGGTACCTTAACTATATCTGGAATTTGACCTATTTCCTCAAGGACAGTTTGGGTTAACTTTTCCCCATTTGGAATTACATAAAGCAAGACTCATGGTCTTCAAAATCCTCTCTTGAAGAGAAGGTAATGCACTATACTTGTTGGAACAGCAGAAGTATAGTCATGCAAGCTGGAATCATGGCAATCCTGCCATCCATTCTGGAATCTGCAGTTAAGGCATATCTTGGAGATATTACAGATTCAGTTCCAGACCACTGCAATAAAGCACATATAATAAAGTGAGTTACACATTTTTTTGTTTCCCAGTGCATATAAAATTTATGTTTACACTATTAGGTGTGCAATAGTATCTGAGAAAACAACATATATATCTTAATTTTAAAACACTGTATTGCATGACAAAGATCTAATATCCAGAATCTGCAAGGAACTTAAACAAATTTACAAAAAAAAAATCAAAAACTGGGCAAAGGATATGATCAGACACACTTCTCAAAAGAAGACATTTATGCGGCCAAGAAACATAAAAAAGCTCAACACTGAACATTAGAGAAAAGCAAATCGAAACCACAGTGAGATACCATCTCATGCCAGTCAGAATGATGATTATTAAAAAATCAAGAAACAATAAATGCTGGTGAAGCTATGGGGAAATAGAAATGCTTTTACACTATTGGTGGGAATGTAAATTAGTTCAACCATTGTGGAAGACAGTATGGCAATTCCTCAGGGATCTAAAACCAGAAATACCAT